>NC_000010.11:78930974-79082489 GCF_000001405.40 Homo sapiens | reverse complement strand
CATCTTTGGGTCTTAGGGGCCTGGAAGGGATCACACCAGGCTGCATCTCAGACCATAAATTCAAGCCATGGTCTAGGCCACCAAATGAGCCTGATGAGCCAAAAAGCTGGGCGTGGGGTCTCAGGTGGGCTCCTGAGGACCCTGTTGCCACCCAAGGCGGAATGCAAGGCAGCCCCATATAAGCCAGGAAGTGAGAGAAAGTGTCCTGCTATAGGGCAGCGGCCCCCAGGCTGGAGGAGCCAGCTGTCTTACCAAGACCATAGGCACCGAGTGCCTGCCCCCAGGACGAGTGTTTCTGGTGGGCACAGCCAGAGCCGAAAGGCCCAGCCGCTTTGCAAAATGAGGAAGGTGAGTCCCAGGCCAGGCCAGTGCCACTGCCACAGCCATGGAGGCACCTCTCCTGTGCCTTACTCCAGCAAAGGGTTTCTGTGGAGTAACAGGCAGGGCTGGGCACTGGCTAGATGGTGGGAACACCTGGATTTTAGCTCCAGCTCTGCCAGGGACTTGTCGTGTGACCTCGTCCCCTCTGGGGTTTGACTCAGCATCTAAATGAGAAGGTTGGCCTGGATGGTCTCCAGGGCCTTTCTGTGCTGCCATTACCATCATTGCACATGGTAATGAAACATTACACTCCCCGATGCAGTGATACTGGACAGCATGCAACGTGCTGGCCTTCCCCTTGGACTCGTGCGACAGCCCCCAGCGATGCTGGCAGGAGGAGGCCAGAAGTTCTGTCTCTAAATCCAGCGCTCCTTGCACAGAGCCCAGGTCTCAGGGGCCTGTAGACACTTAGGCAAGATGCGCCTAAGTGGCAGGGGGCAGGGCCAGGCAGAGAGGAGCTCAGTAAGGAGCTGGGTGCTGGTCCACAGGGGAGGAAGCACTATTCACAGCCCCTGGCTACCTCCAGTGAGGGGGCTCTGGCTGCAGTGGCAGGCGAGCATGCTGCAAGAGGCTAGGAAGACAGACGGCCTTCTCAGCCTCCTGGAATGTCTGACCCTGCTTGAAAAGCAGAAGCCAGACCACTTTCTTCCCCTAGGGCCCCAGTGAGCCACTGTTGTGGCCTCCCCAGCCTACTGCCACGTCTTACAACCTGGGCTAAGCTATTTTCAGGTCAGGTCTCAGGTCTCCAAGCTGCCCAGACTCTTACCAGAGGCAGAGATAATAAGGCCCAGGGGATATAAGAAGGCCACCTCCCCAGGAAGCCCATTCTGCCTTCTCCAGCCTTAGACTCAGCCCAGAGAGAAGTCTCCGAGGATACAATCTCTGAGGCAGAGAATGGAAGAGACTTCCTGAGGACCAATTCACCACATTCTGCAAGGTCCTGAGAAGAGAACTAGGGGAGAGGTATCCTTCTGGGCTCCATACGATGTGGAACTTTCTAGACAGAGGGAGCTGCTGGGGAGGCAGGGAGCAGCCTGTCCGTGGAGGCATGCAAGCCCACATGGGAAGGTGCTCTATGGGGATAGCGTAGATGGGGCATAAGTCATCCGTATGACAGGCATCAGATGAGATGGGCGCCAAGGTCCCTAATGGTCTTGGGAATCAAAGGTGCCAAGAATACCAGAAATAGGAGCATCCAGAGCCTTCGGGTGGAGCAGAGCTGCCCAGACCCCTCTGGGGAGCTGGCTAGGAGGGAGGCCATCCACAAGGCAGAAGGCGCCAAGACTTCTGAGGCCCATGAGGATTCCAACCCCCAATGCAGACCCACTCCTTCTGCCTAAAGGGGTCAGTCCTGCAGATGAAGCACAAGCAGAAATGCAGATGTCAACCCAGGCCAGGTGGGAGGAATCAGAAGGCCATTCTTTTGCAGGAGATAAACTGACGTCAAACTCACAGCTTCACAGCCCCATCGCCAAACACCAAACAAGAAATCACACCTGAGGCCCGGCGCAGTGACTCACGTCTATAATCCCAGCACTTCGGGAGGCCAAGGCGGGCGGATCACCTGAGGTCAGGAGTTCGAGACCAGCCTGGCCAATATGGCAAAACCCCGTCTCTACTAAAAATACAAAAATCAGCTGGGCATGGTGGTGTGGGCACCTATATTCCCAGCTACTCAGGAGGCTGAGGCAAGAGAATCTCTTGAACCCGGGAGGCAGAGGCTGCAGTGAGCCGAGATCGTGCCACTGAACTCCAGCCTGGGTGACAAAGCAAGACTCAGTCTCAAAAAAAAAAAAAAAAAAAAAAAAGTCACACCCGAGCTTTCTGCTCTTCTCCCAGGATCTGAGGCGCAGGGAGGTTGTGGAGCTCAGGTATGCCGGGCACACAGGGCAGACAGGCGGAGAGCCAAGAAATCCCCTTACTTGCTCCCAACCATCACAAAGCCCACTTCTCAGGATCCCAGGAAGGTGGGGACATGAGGACTGCGAGCAGGGAGGCAGAGTGACTCATGCACAATTACAGAGTGGCCGGCCAGCGGCTCTCTGGAGGCCCCAGGCTGCCTCTCCCCACCAACAGCACAACAACCCCAGCTAAGGACTCCTAACCAGCTTACACCAGCCGGGCAATCTGAAGACACCGTGTGCCCCTCAATATAAGTGCCAGTGGTCCCCACAGCCCCCGAAGAGGAACCATGAACCTGGGCGGGACCCACAAAATGCAGCCTGCAGAGCAGAAGCTGACCTCCTGACCCAGAGGAGGCAACTCCTAAACCAGTCCTGCCCAGCCTTCCTAGAAGAGGGACTGGGCGGGGACTTCCTTCACCCCAGTGCCAGCTCTTTCTGGGACACTGAATCCCAACACCCCTAGTAGGTCTCACAGAGGACAAGATGGGATGGCTTCACAGTGAAGTCAGCTGCTGCAGAAGGCCATGCCTGCCTGCCACTCACTCATCATTCCCTGGACCCCCCCGGCCCCAGTGCCAGGCCCTGTGGCCTTGGTCAAGTCGCTTCACATCCCTTGGTCACAGTTTCCTTGCCAGGAACATGTCAAGCTGGATTAGAAGCAGGAGGTGTGAACATAAATCTATTCACATCTTCAAGAGTCACACGACTGAGGTGGAATGGAAGAGGGGGAGAAAGGCAGCATGACAGTTCCACTCCATTCAACGGCCAGGGACTACAGACCCTTGGACTAAGGCTATAGTTTCGACACTGTTTCCAGGTGTCCACATTGAATTAAGGATCTGAAACAAGGCTTCAGACCACCTCTCCAGGAAAGTGCACGTTTGCAAAGGCTTGACCACAGGTTCTGGGGGCCCACAGCCCCCATGGGTGAAACAAACCCCTTCTGGCTCTGACAGCCAGCAAAACTCTGGGGCCTGTCTCTAGGGACATGGCAGAGGCCCCACCCCTCTGCCCAGTTGGCCTTGCTCTTGGGACTGCCCAACCACAAACAGATTTGTGGTCTGGTAACAAAAAAAGAAAAGACAAGGAGGCCAGCAAAAGTGGGAGGCTGGAGGGTGGGTTAAAAAGAGGTGGAAAGGCCAAGAAAGCAGGCTGAGGGGAAGACTTCTGCCTCTGCAGACACTGTCCCCTCCTCTCCTCTGTGAAAGGCTCCCCTGGAAAGGTGGTTCTTCAGTAGGTAAACCATCCGCTGGATGGAGCTGCAATGCCTGAGCTGAAAGGGACTGTTTACGCGGGCGTTTCCCAAAATGGTCTATTGGTCTTTTCCATAGTTATTTTGCATTAAAAAAAGGGTGGGGCTAGGCATGGTGCTCATGCTTGTAATCCCAGCACTATGGGAGGCAGATGCAGGTGGATTGCTTGAGCCCAGCAGTTCAAGATCAGCCTGGGCAATATGGTGAAACACCATATGCAAAAAAAAAAAAATACAAAAATTAGCTGGGCATGGGTGCGCATGCCTGTAGTCCCAGCTACTCAGGAGGATGTGGTGGGAAAATCACCTGAGCCCAGGAGGCAGAGGTTGCAGTGAGCTGAGATTGCACCACTGCACTCCAAAAAAAAAAAAAAAAAAAAAAGTCGGGGGTGGGTGGTGTCTGTAGTCTGGGGAAAGGCTGAGTGAAGCAAACTATTTACTCTGAGCCATCTCCTCCAGGCAAATAGGTTTGACAATTTCTTGGGGGTGGGGGTGCTCTGCTGCCCTCTCTTTTGCTTTTGGGGACTGGTGGCCCTGAGAAGCCACTTCGGGAAGAGATTATGTTGTTTCGGCTCATGGTCTTCAGATGAGGAAACTGAGGCTCGGAGGGGTGAGTGACTGGCCAGAAGTTCCAGTCAGTTACCATTCATAGTGATTCCACATAATAGGGTACAACTGACAAGCCCAGTCCCTCTGTGGCCTCCTTCCCTTCACACGAGAAGAGTCCAAAAAGTAGGTATTGTTATTATGAGCCTCAGTTTACACATGAAAAAAATAAGCTTCTCAGACAGAAGCCCAGATGCAACACCTCCCTCTCGAACGCCTTTCCAAGGGGAACAAGCTGCCCTAGTAGGTTGAATTACAATGTACTTGGGTTATGACTGACTGGGGGCCTCTCAGAGATGATGGGCCAGCCCTTTGTGCTACACAAGAGTGTGGAAAACGGCAGGGAGTTGGAGATCAGGAAGCCTAGGTGCCAGCAGGCCGCTTTGGTTGGGCTCCAGGCACCACATGACCTGGGCAATCGACTTCACCGTCTCATCTGTAAATCAGAGGTAAGGCAATGGGAATGCTGGTGGTGACCATGACTAGGGCTACCTTTTCTTGAGCACTTACTATGTGCCAGGAAGTTTGCGCACTCCATCTTCTCAACCTATGGAGGAGGTAGTATGTTAGTTATTACTACACCACTAGTAAGCCTGTTTTACAGATGTGGAGACCAAAGTCGGAGAAGTTAAACATTACTTGCCCAAAGTTACAGAGCTCATAAAGAGCAGAGCTGAGGGCTGAACCCAGGCAGTCTGGGAAAAGCATGAAACACATTAGTTGCCCAATAAATGCTGGCTATTATATTTATGGCAGACCTTTGGCAAGTTGTTTTAAGTATGTAAACAACAGCAGGAACACCAAAGCATTTTTCGATGGAACACCATTTTTCGATGGAAAACCCCACCCCTCCCCACCCAGACCACAGAACCCCCCACTCTTAGTGAGACACCCCACTGTATGACCCCCAGCCAATCCCACCACCTCTCTGGGCTTTGGGTTTCCCCATGTGGAAAATAAGAAGGTTGGACAGAGACCCTATAAGGTCGCGTCCCACTTGCACACACCAGGAAAGGGTTTCAGGACTCTTCCCAGAGGTCTCTGTGCCCTGCTGATCCTTGGCTAGGTCGCTGAGTGGTTAGAGCTGTGCACTGTGCTTCCCAGCGGCGGTCAAGGTCCACCGGGGAGTAGGGGTAGGAGTTTGGGTGGGACCCCTGTGGACAGGGCAAGGTCCAGGCACCTGGCATCTCCTCCTTTGTCCTGAGCCTAGCTGGCTCTTCCTAGTGTGCTCTCACCTAGGCTGACAAAGGTGACTCTCAGCAGGTGACTCCTAGGGTGGGGTGAGAAGGCCACCTCCCTGCTTCCCCATACACAGAGGAAGTGAAGGCAGGACCAAGTCAGTGGGTCATTTGCTCTGCAAAGGACAAAGGTCAGCTCCTGGAGGGCTGGCTGGAGGGGAGAGGGGAGGTATGGGAAGCTACCATCCTCTTGGCTTAAACAGGTCCCGGCAGATGAGAAACCTTGTACCCTCCCTAGATGGTTTCTGTTTTGTTTTATTTATTTATTTTTTTAGGCAGAGTCCTGCTCTGTCATCCAGGCTGGAGTGCAGTGGTGCAATCTTGGCTCACTGCAACCTCCACCTCATGGGTTCAAGTGTTTCTCATGCCTCAACCTCTCGAGTAGCTGGGACTACAAGCGTGCACCACCATCATGCCGAGATAATTTTTGTATCTTTAGCAGAGATGCGGTTTCACTACTTTGACCAGGCTGGTGTCAAACTCCTGACCTCATGATCCACCTGCCTAGGCCTCCCAGAGTGCTGAGATTACAGGCATGAGCCACTGTGCCCGGCCCTGTTTTACTTCTCTCAAATTCACAATGCAACCACCCTGTAAAGACACATGCTGCTGGGCAGGGGCTCTAATGCCAGACCAGGAGTGTTCCACACTCCCCTGGCTGCAGAGGATCTGGGAGTCTGGGAATGCCACTGAAAACTCCCCATCCTTCGTCCTCACCCTGAGCACTCAGAAGTGAACCCCACCCCCAAGGTTCAGCTGGGCCTCTCATCAGACCCGAAGAGCATTTATTAATGAGCTCAAGAGTGGCTAAGGGGGGCTGTGCCAGGCCAACAGCACACACTCAATACATGTTTCATGAGCTAATGGACTGGCGGAGATGGGGTTCCAGGCCCAGATCGGTCACCCATTCGCTGCTGACCTTGGATGAGACCAAGTGTTTCTTTCCATGGTTCAGTTTCCTGGGCTAGGAAAGGAAAGGCCAGACCAGGTAACGCAACCAGTTCCCACTAATTTTATGCTACAAGCTTAGGAATTCAAACCCCAGAGTCAGAGAGGTTCACAGTGGAAGGGGCTTTCCAGATCTTTCCCCGAAGCTCCCGAGCTAAGAGGAGGGCAGCACAGGACCTAAGTGGGAAGATCCAAGGCACACCGTCCCCATCCTCCCTGCCAGTCATCCCCTGCGGATTGGGAAGTGAGAATGGGGTGCGGGGAGAGAGGACAGATCTCCATTTAAGCCAGACACCAAAACAGAACTTTCGAAGAAAGAGCTGGGGAAAGTACAGTGTATGTATTTTAACACACACCCCCATCAGAACAGCTTGGCCATTTCCTGATCTGCATTGAATCAGAGGCTCCAAGAGGGCAAGTATCTGGCTAAGAGTGGTGGGGGAGGACGGAGAGAGCTCTCAGGTCTCAGGACCCTGGGCCAGGCAGCCGGAGTCCTGGCAGAAGCCCTGGCCAGCAGGGCCAGTGTGTGCATGTGTGTGCAGGTGTGCATGCGTTTGCATGTGTGCAGGTGTGCATGTGTGCATGTGTGTGCATGTGTGTGCAGCTGTGTGCAGGTGTGCACACACACAGGGCTGGGGGAATATAAGACAGGTAACTGCCAACTGGGGAACAAGCTTGGGGACAAATGAAGCCCCCCAAGCCCTATCTCTAGGGGCAGAAGTCTCTGGAGGGTTCACTAGTCCCTGGAAATTCCAGACTTTCCCTGAAGTGCCTAGGGACAAATATCCCAAAGTCAGACCACTAGTCTTTGATGCTCCACTGCTACCAGCCATCAAGGTCCTGAGCCAGTCTCTGTCCCTCTGTGGGCCTAAGTTTCCCCATCTGAACAGTGAAGGGTTTGAGCTGGGTGATCTCAAAGGGCTATGTCCACTCTGACAGTCTGCGATACTCAGTTTCTACAGAAAAACACGACACCCACCATCACTCAAGCCCCCATCCTCAAGACCTAAGAAGGCAGTCCCCAGGCCCTCAGCTGGCTGTCTAGGGGTGGAGCTGGGGCTGGGGCAGAGCACAGTCCCCCCACCGTCTGTCCTCAACAGCCTGCCACAGCCGAAACCTTCAAGTGGTTACAATTACAGCCAGACTAACAGGATTAGGGGAGCATTGAAATCTAAGAAATCTAATTAGCTCAGACACCCCAGCCTCCCCCAGCACAATCCTGCAGTAACTCCGGCAGCTGGGCCTGACAGGCAGGGCCTGGGGCCCTCCCAAGCCACAGTCATTACCTGCACAGGTGTGCCAGGCTGGGCCAGGCTTCCTGGGGAGGTGCCAGCTCAGCCTGCCCGGCTGCTCCCTGGCCTGAACCCCACTAGCTACAGCCTTGTCCTAGGGTGGCACTCAGCTGAGCTACAGAAAACCAGGCCCAAGGGTGGAGGCTGCAAGGGGCAGAAAGAACCTAAGGTCTCACACGGAGTGGGTGCCCCACATAGCCTGGGGACTGACTCAGCCCGAAGAGGGACTACAGAAACCATAGGAACCCAAGGAAGAGCACTGGGCTTCATGGGGACCCGGGGGGCTGGAAACACCTCTGCCTCCTACTCCAGAGCCGGAGAAGGGCATGAAGCCCCATGTATAGACCTGTGTGCCCTGGGCAGTCAAGGCAGGATTTGTGTCTCGAAGCAAGCTCTGGCTGTAAGACACTGTGCCAAAAGAAAGGGACACAGCTACTGGGGGCATGGACCATGTGCTGCCATATGGGAGGGGGAAGACAGGTGAGGCCCATCTGTGACCCTTCCTGAGAATGGCTCCTCCTTCACCTCATTCCCCCAGCACCCAGTTTTGGAGCCTATCCTGACTCTGCACCGTGTCCGAGCCTGGCTGGAGCGCTCACTCAGTGGACTGGAAAGGAGGCAGCGCAGGGGTTGGTATCGGTAAGGCCTGAGGTTCAGTCCTAACTTTGCCACCAGTTGTTTGACCGCTCTGAACCTTGGTTTTCTGCTCTGTTAAATGGGGATAATTCCAAATAGTAACTAGCTTACACTGTTGTTATTGGGGATAAACAAAGATGGAAAAAGCTTCTAAATCCACCAAGTACCATACAAAGGAGAGGGGCTGTGGTTATTACTGTCATCACGCGCCCGTGGCAGGCAGCCAGCTGGTAGCGGTTAATTATTTATTTGGACTGATCTTCCTGCCGGCACTGGACTGTGGGCTCCTGAGGAACAGGAACTGTCTTCCACAGTTCTGGTCTCTCCCAGGACACAGTCTTTATCCACAGGGTGGACACTCACAGTCAACACCTGTGGCACCCATGCCGGGCCCGACCCAACCCCAGCCCTCATCACGCACCCCCTTCCTTCTCATACCCCGCTCCAAGGAAAGTGCCCAGAGGCAAACCTGGCACACAAAGGCAGATGACAGTGAGCACCCCCAGGCAGACCCTTCCCCCTTCTGCACCCCCCACAACAGGTCATTCCCAATAAGGGCTAGAAGCAGCCACTTGAATGTGTCCCCCTACCTAGGGGCCTGCCTAGGCACTGGTCTTGAACCCAGGATCATTCAGGAAAGAACGAGTCTATGGTCTGGAGGGCCCCCCAGCATCTCAAGCCCAGAGTGGGGTCAGGAGGTGTGGATTTGCAGAAGGCATGTAGCAGAACATGTTAACACTCACAACTGCCCACTGAAGGCAGAGGCTTCCAGGAGGTAATGAGTACCCTGTCCTGTGGGGGGCATGCAAGCCAAGACTGGACAATCAGCTGCCAGGGAAGTAGGTCTGGATGAGAGCAGCTTCAGCAAAATGCTTCTAGCACTTGCAATCTAAACCCTTTGTGTTCTACCCATTCTGTACCCAGAGCCTCCCAGGCCTTCAAGGGACACATGCCTAGGGGACTCATGCCCACATCTGCCTCATTCTCCCAGCAACCAAGTGGGATCGGAGGAGTTCTGCCCTCAGACCCATTTTACAGATCAGGAGACTAAGGTCCAGCACAGGAGAGTTACTGGCCCAACACAGATAGCAAGCAACAGCCTCCTGACACCTTGGTCCTCTCGCCCATCTCCTCCGGTAATAGGGAGACCCTCTCAATCATGATGGGGTCTAGCCTCTCCCCAGAGCCTATGCCTAGGACTGCTTTTCTCAGCCTTCTCCCTTCATCCTCTCTAAAGGCAGGGCCCAACCTCAGAACGCCCCGGAGCTTACAGCCAGGTGGATTGCTGCCTCCCCATCCTGAGGGACTCTTAAGGACAAAGAGCACTCCCCCAAAGGGCATGAGCAGAGAGCACTATATCCTGCTAAGAGGTCAGAGCTGTCGCCAGGCAAGGCTGCAGCAGTGTCCTGGGTAATCGTGGCAGCCTGGCCTTTGTTGTCCACACAAAATCTAAGGAGCCTCATAAAGACCAGGCAGCAGTGACAGGGGCTGGGCCAGGGCCCTGGGGAGCAAAGTTATGAATGAAAATGTAGAGGACCCAGCCACGAACCAGCAGGCCCTGCTTCCTGGTCCCACGACCAAGTGCCTACAGAAGCTTCTGGAAATTAATTGGTTGGTGCCTGAATTTCTTACAACAATGCCTCACCCTGAGGCCAGGGTCATGGCCACTCGTTGGACCCTCAGGGTCAGTGGCTTTATACGCAGGTATTCTTGTGACAAAACTCTCAGGATGCAGCAGGCCTCAAAGTGCCTTCCTTCCTAAATCCCTTCACCCCTCCCGCCATCAGGAAGAAACAGGAAAAAAAGTGAAGTCTGCAGCTCTTCTCAGTTGGGTCCTTGCCCCTGCAATTTTCTGGAATGAGTCAAGCATGGACACCTGTCCTATGTTGGAGGCATATCTATGGGGGCCAGGGATGGAGACATCGTTGTTATTGTGGCTAGGGAAGTGAGTGTGCGTGCGCGCGTGCGTGAGGGAGAAACTGGTTCTGTCGCCAAACCCCGCAGTCTCTGGACCTTTCTTCATTTTGCCCCTGGCTGTGAGAGGAACAAGAACCCTCCTCCCCCCTTTGCTTAGGAGGGAAAAGGGACATTTTGTCCCCACAAAGAAGCCAGCAACCCTTTTCTGCATAGACAAGGCTATTTATTCATAAGTCCAGCAATTTCTTATTCCCAACTCTTCTCAGTAAGCCCTACCCAAAATGCCAAATCCACCTCTTGAATCCACTCCCTACTGCTCCCTTCTCCTCCCCCCACCCAGCCCCCACCCCCAGTCACTGCCACCAACTCTCAGAAGTCTAAACTTTTGAGATTTACATGTGAAAACAGCGTTTCAAAACCTCGTGATTTGGGACAAGGAGACGCTTCTGTCCTTTGGGGGAAAACAAAACCCAACCGAAAATCATAAAGCTCAGAAGAAAACACCATCTCCCTCCAAATGCATTCCCTGGGCCCCCAACTCACACGTGCTCTGTAGCAGATAGGGCTTTCAATGTGTCTTTTGTTTGATGCTGATGTTTCAACATCCTCGACTTGAAGAGGGAAAGGTCAGCCCAAGGCTTGGGGTATTCACAAACCCACCCGGCCCCTGCACTGGGGCCAGGAGCCAGCAAGTGAGGGGCCAGGAATTTCCCCCACTCTGGACCCCCTCACAAAGCAGCCGGGGCTGAGAAGGCTAAGAAAGAGCTTGCTCTCTCATCTCAACTTCCCCGATAGCTCAACAGCAGCTTCACACTCCCGGGACCGTACAAGCGCCAGCGAACGCAGGCTGGAATTCACCAGCGCCAAGCTGCCCGGCTCTCCAGCCCCGGCGCCTGCCTCTTTATCTGTACCTTCAAAAACAGTAATAAGCAAACCCAGGCACCTCTGGGAACAGCCTCTGGCCTCCTGCCCTGCCCTGTGTAACCAGCCTGTCCTCACACCCACCAGGGAGGAGGAGTCGGCACTGGTTAACCCTCTGGTCTACCAGGCCCGGTTCCCAGGTTGCAGCAGGGAGACAAACTGTTGCTCAAGAAAATCCTTCAGAAAACCCTTGGCACCAGGAGGCAGCTCGGAGCGGCTCTGCACCCGGCGCGGAGCCAGGGGCTTCCACAGGCGGCCGCCCACTGCCCTTTTAAATCTTTGGGGCTGGGCCCTACTCTCCCATGCCCTGGGCTGTCCACCCAGAGGGCTCCAAATGTCCGTGGCAGAGCAGAGAGGAGGGAAAGGCTGGCCGAGCCGTGCCCTCACCCCGCCAGCCCAGCCGCCAGCTTCTTGGAGGACCTCTGAGAGAACATTTGTTTGGGCTGCCAAGTTAAATCTTCCTCCCTCATGTCAGGGCATTGGAAAAGCAGTCAGGGGAGAGGAGAAGGGGGAGAGCGCGCGGGGGAAGGAGCAGCGGGAGGGAGGGAGGGAGGGAGGCAGGCGGGCAGGCTCAAAGCCCCAGTTACTCGGGCACTGCCTACCCAGGAAGCTGACGGCTCCCGGGCAGGCGCAGCCGGGGCTCCGGGCACCGAAGCAGGGACCCGGCCGTCAGGCCTCCCCGGTCAGGCAAGGGTACCAAGCACCCTTGGCCCACCTGGGAGCGGCCCTCGCTCTGTGACCTGCTGGAGGGACGAGGTGGGAAGGGAAGGCAGAGAAGGAAAAAGTTTGCTGCAGGTAGAGGGGTAGGGCTGGGCGGCAGTGCCGACCGGCTGTCCCCGGGGAGGGGTGGGGGGCCCGGACCGGCTGCCCTGGCGCGCTCCCGTCCGCCCGCCCTCCCGCCCGGGTTGTTTACATTCCTGGAGTGTCTTTTAAACCCGGGGCTGAGGCCGGCTCCCGGCCTTCTCCGGCGGCTCCGGGGCAGTCTCCCGTGAAAATCTGCTGGCGCACAATGGCCGGGAAGGCGGCCGCCCCTCGCCCGCGCCCCCACCGCTCCAGGGCGGGGAGCCTGCCCTCCGCACCGCGCCCTATCCCCGCCCGGCCGGCTTCCTGGACAGATGTCCCCAGCGAGGGGGCGACGCGCGCCCGCTGCCCGCGCCCTAGACGCCGAGGCCGCGCTCCCCACTGTTTTTTCCCCAGCCCAGACGCCAGGAATGTGAAGCAAGCTTCCAGAACCCGCCTCCCCCCCCCGACCCCGGCTCCAGCCCCGGCCCCCCAACCTCCGCCCCGGCTGGCCTCCCACTCCCCCGGGGCCACCGCCGCCGGAGACGGAGAGGAAGAAAGAACACGGGGAAATTACTTTCGTATTTGCAACGCGCGCGCGCACACACACGCACATCTTCCCCCTGGGCTCCCCTCCTGGCCGGGGCAGCCCCGTCCAGGCACTGGCCTGAGCGCCCCTCTGGCTTGCGAAGCCCTGGGAGAAAACCCTGCACACACACCTCCGCGTTTCTCGTTTGTACCGCGCGCCAGCTTTCCCCGGGCAATTCCCACACAAACAACTTAACCGCGCCCCCACCTCCCATTTACAAAAGTGTATGTTTTCCCTGGAAATTCAGACGCACAAGTTAACACCACCACCCCTTGCCATCCTGAAATCCAGCGCTTTCCCCAGCGGTTCCTGTACACACACAGGCGCACAACTTCGCATCTCCCCAGAGGAGGCGAAGGAGACCGAGGCGGTCCTTCCCTCCCTCCTCCGATTCCCGGTCCTGCCCGGCCCCCGGGTGTAGGGAGCGAGGGCTGGAGGCGCGCCGGCAGGAGGCGGGCACCGGGTCCGCGCGCGCACGACCACACTTACGCCCCGCACACCCTGACAAACCCGGCCCCCACGCGCAGCCCAAGCCGGCTCCGCGCAGCCGGGAGCTCGCCGGCCGCCGGGCCTCGGCCCCCGGCCGCCAAGGAGAGCGGAGCGGAGCCCGCGCCGCCGGCCGGTCGCCCCGCTCCGGGGGACACTTTAAGGGAAAAACCCCAGCACCCAATCCCCACGCTTGCACCCCGAGAGTCCCCGGGGAGCGGGAGGTAGCCCCGGAGCCAGCGGGCGCCTGGCTCTGGCCCCAAACTTACCGGGCGCTGCGAGCGCCGCTGCCGCCGCTGGAGGACGCGCCGCCGCCACCGCCGGGTAGGGCAGGCTCGGGCCGGGAGGAGCGCAGCGAGGGCGCCGAGATCCGCTCGGCTCCGGCTCCTGCTCCGCGCCGGCTGGGGCTGGGGTCACCGCGCTGCGCCGGCGTTGCTCGCTCGCTCGGCCGCCCGATCGCTGCTCGCCCGCCTGCCGCCCGGCCGCCCGCTCTCCCCGGCGCCCGCCGCCGCCGCTCGCTTTTTTAATGTCCACAGACAGTGAAAAGGAACTCGGCGTTAGGGGGTGAGTAAGTGAATCAACTCGCCCGGAGCCGAGCAAGTTGAAGTGTCAGATTACATTGGCTATTCTATTTCCAAAGGGCCCCGCGCCGCCGGCCGCCCGCAAAAGCCGGTGCGGAGTCAGGCCGGAGTGGAGCGCCGCGCCGCGCCGCCGCCGCTGCCGGCGCTCGGCTTGGCTCGCGCTCTGCGCTCTCTTTCCCCTTTCCTTTTCGCCTCTCCTCGTTCTCTCCCTCGCCTTTCCTTTCCTTTCTCTTCCTCTCTTCCTCGCTCCTCGGTCTCGGCGCTCTCCCAGCTTTTCTTCTCCTGGCTCCTGGTTCCCCGCTACGCCACCAGTCCACTCACCTCTCTCCTTGCCCTACTCCCTCCGCTACTCCCTGACGCCCCCTGCAGCCCCCAGCCCCCCTGCAGGCCCCAGCCCCAGTAAGTTTGGAGAGGGGAACAAATGCTGAGCCTAGGTAGGGACCACCTTGGGGAGGAAGCCAAAATCACACTGCTCACCCGAGAGCCCCTGCCCCGCGCTGGCACGCCCCCGCCTGGAGTGCACTCGTGGCCCCGGGCGCTGTCAGGTACCCGAATTGGGGTAAGCGAGTTGGTAACTGGACCTCCAAAGCCTTCCCCTGGGGTTGACTTTGGAATTGTTCCTACAGCCCGGGGACTGGTGGTTGGGGTGGGAAGAGGACCACCACCACCAAGGGTGACTTTGAGGGAGACTAGAGCGCGGCCCCCCGACAGCTGTGGGGGAGCGGGGGTGTGGTGGCCACAGTTGATCCGCGGCACCTAGCACAGTCCAGAGACGCGTGGATTCCCCTAGGCCCGGCGCGGAGCGCCCGGGGCGCTGTGCGCGCGGGCTGCGTGGGAGCTGCTAGGCTGGGGCCTGGCCCTCTGCCCCGGACTGGGCACTGCCAGAGATAGCGGAGAGCTAAGGTACTCACGAGGCGCAGTTGGGTGCACCCACTCGCGGGAGTTCCCCTAGCCGACCCACCCCCCCCCCCCGAGAGCATCCAACTACGCGCCCACTTTGGCTCACGTCCACTGCCACTCTCACGGAAACTCCTACAAGAACGGCACACACGTTCGCTCCCTCAGCATTGCAAACACGCTCCCCCCCAAACCACAAACGCGCCCCCACACACTCGCTTACTTTCCCTCACAAAGATGCCCGCTTACACGGCCACAGCAGGCACGCTCAGAGACACGCAGTTACACACACACATCGCTGTACACAACCCCACATACAATCAAAAAACAAAACACGAAACGTTCCCCTGGGCACTAAATCCTCACGTTAACGTACACACACAAACACACGCCCTCCTCTCCCACTTCCTCTTCCATACCCCTTCCTCGAGGCCCCCCACCCCTGATTTTCGGCACCCCCAGTCCCAATCATAATTGGCGCCCGCGCAGCCCTCTTTGGACACACACGCGCCGCCCACGCACGCGCTCCCCTCCCCGGCAGGCGGGGGCGGCTTCGGCCGGGAGCCGGCGGAGCCCGCTTCGGATTCCAGGTGTGGCAGTGACTCCGCGCTCCACGTTTTGCAGGCTGCCACCGTGTCGGAGGCGAGGCGAGGAAGGGAGCTGGAATAACAAAGGCAAGTTGGGGAGAGCGCAAGGGGGCGCAGCCCCGGCCGGGCTGCGGGGGGAGCCTTGCACGGCCGGGGCTTCGGAGGCTGCAGGGTCGGGGGCGCGGGGAGCCGGAGGTGGGGGAGGAAGGGTGGGGGGAGAGGGGCGGGGCTGAGGCGTGACGTCAGAGAACAATGACACCGCCGGGGGGCGGGCACCCGGAGGCGGCCCAGGCGGGGGTCTCCCCCGGGGCCTGGGGCGGGCCGAAGATGTCCAGGCCTGGCCGGAGCCGCCTCCTGATTGACGAGGCCCGCATGGGAGTGCGGACGTGCAGCACAGATTTGCGGGTCTCCTGGGCCTCTTGGGCGGTGATCAGCGCGGACCTTGGGCCAACCGGGGAAGCAGGCCGGAGCACTACCCCCCACCCCCATTTTAGAACATCCTTCTGAGGGCTTCGCTGACCTCGGCTTGAACTCCTTCAGAGCCGGAGAGATCACTCCTTCCACCACCGAGGGAGAGGAGGCAAAATGAATTTGCCAGCTTTGAATTCATTCTCAAGGCTCCGCTAGTCTCACAGCCAGTGAACTCAGTCTGGAATTCCTGAAAGCTCAGAAAACTGCTGCTTAGGTCCACCCGGGCGTGGGGGACGGGGTGTGTGGGGGCGCAGGCGGCGGAGTGGGGGCGTTATTTTATTTTCCCCAGGGGAAATTCTGCCTCCCTATGCCATTGGGTGCAAGAAAAGGCACTCCTTTGGGGCCTCAGTCTTCCTACCTGTCACATGGACATGGACTGTGATGACTGCTGCTCTTCCACCCCCGCCCTCCCTGTAGGTGGCAGCTGAGCATCCCTGGAGAGGGTGGGTGGTATGAAAGCACTTCCAGACCTCTAGGGACACCAGGGAGTCATGGTCCCAGCACATTGCTGTGTGATTGAGCCCCTCCTCAGCCTGTGGGTGGCCTAAGTTCACAGGTAGGTACACCAGGGCCACCTGAGAAACCTCCGAAGGTAGGAATTAAGCTTGCAGAACGGTGGCTGCAGCCACAGCTGTCCCACTCCCAGCAATCCACAGCATTGCAGCAGTGGCAGCAGCCACCCCATACCCAGGTCCAAAATCCCAAAAGAGAGTTTCTGGGTATTTAAGGATTTGGGATGTGATAATCCAGCCCAGCCCACAATTAGACCAGTTCTTGTTGCCTTAATGACCAGCTAGGTCTGGACGCCCAGCCCTCTCAACCTTTCTGTCCAGATTCCTCAATAAGTATCCAGGGCCTGCCCACTTCCAGGAATTGGGGGATGCAGGTGACCTCGGAGGTGACCACTCATGTTCAAAGTCTCCTGTCCAGAAGCTCCACCCCCTACCCCACATCCCAGCCCCCTACTCTCCCACCAGTATTTACATCTGAAACCCAGGAAGTGGCTGCAGAGGGCAGAGGAGCCAAGTAGGCTCAACTTAGTAGCATGGAACCAGGGATCATTTCAACCCTCCCCTTCTGTGCAAGCATGGCAGCAAGTCAGAAAGCCCACCAGGGTCCTGGGTCTTCCCTAGGCTCCAGTCCTTGGGTCTCTGAGGCCCTTGCTCTCTTTGTTCATCTTCCAGGGAGGTAATGGGGTAGATTGGATACCTCTGGGGTCTTGGAAGAAGCTATGACTTATTTACTGTCTACTATGTGGTGAGTACTGTGGTGGGTCCTCCTAGGTATTGAGAATTCAGTTCCCTGATTGAACTGTCACATTGTCTTAAGTTAGGTGCCGCTACCATCCCCCTTTCAGAGGAAACTCAACTGTGAATGACTTGCCCAAGATTGGTCAGGATGGGAACTCGGGCCCCCATGAACAGAGTTTCCTGTTGTCCCCTCAGCCCTGGCTCTGTTCATCCATAGACTGTGTAGCCCCAAGCAAGCTGCTTTCCCCCTCTGAGCCCCTGTAAGGTCCATGGTGCCATCAGGACTCACTGGGAACTGTGTGTCCAACAACCTCACCCCCAAAGTCTCAGCCTCACTGGGCCTGGAGATCTGCTGGTGAGACAAGAGAGGACAGTGCCATCACTTCCTCGTGGCCCAGAGCTGGAAGATGCATCCTGCTCAGCCCCTGCAGGCCCAGAAGTCACCTGGCTCCACTAGGAGGGCATGGGCAGTGTGGGGCCGCCAGGTTGTACCAACCTTCAGAGCACACTCAAGTGCTGTTAATTTCCCTGTCCTGTGGGAGCCACCAGCAGATTGGGGAGAGGACCATTGCTGGGGCCTGGGCCCAGGTTTCAGGAGGCAGAAAATCTGGAGGCCAGCAGGATGGTGGGGGTGGGAGGCTTGAGGTCCCTGAGGGAAGCAAAGGACTTGTGTAGGGTGCGGCGAGTATGGCCTCCTAGGCTGGGCTGGGATGGGGGCGGGTACACAGTGGGGATTCCCACCTGTCCAGGAGCTGCCTTCTCTGTCCCCACTCTCCACCTCTCACTTCTGGAACTTAAGGGAGCCAGGGAACATCTAAAATTGAGACTAGAGAGGTGGGAAGAAAATCTCATTCATTGAGTACTTACTGTATGCCACGCACTTTGGAAACATTCGTTGTATTCTCTCCACAAGCCAGGTGTCATTCCCTGCTAAGGGAAGAGGCTCAGAGAGGTTAAGTGACCTGCTCAAGATCTCATAGCTGGCTGAGCATGGTGGCTCATGCCTGTAATCTGTGCACTTTAGGAGGCCAAGGCAGGGTAGATCACTTGAGCTCAGGAGTTCGAGACCAGCCTGGGCAACATAGCAAGACCTTGCCTCTACAAAAAATACAAAAATTAACCAGGCATGGTGGCACATACCTGTAGTCCCAGCTATTTGGGAAGCTGAGGTCGGAGGATCACTTGATCCTGGGAGGCTGAGGCTGTAGTGAGCCATGATTGTGCCACTGCACTCCAGACTGGGCAACAGGGCATGACCCTGTCTCATAAAAACGAAACAAAACAATAAAGATCTCAGAGCTGCTAAGTGGGTGGAGCCGAGATTGGGCTCCAGGTTGGGCTGGGCCTTGAGGTTGAGAATAGGGACTTGCCCTCATCTCACTGCCAGGTTATGGTGCAGATAAGGTAACCTACCAGGTACTTTGGGGTGAAGTAAAGACTCTCACCCACTTGCCAGGGAATGACCAGGGTGCCTCCCATGGCAGTGAGGTAATGGAGATTACATTTAGAGTTCACCCCTTGGTGGATACAGGAAGCATTTGGGCCCTGCCCAGCTCTGAGCCCTGTGCCTCTAAGAGGTGAGTGGTTGGGTCAAGCAGGGAAGATCTATGTCCTTCAGCGAATTAGGCTCCCCTGCTCTGCCTCCCCCTCATTTCCAATCAGATGGCCCCTCCATTCTCTGAGCCCACACCTTCCCATCCTCCAAGGCTTGACTCTCCAATGTCCTTCCCTCAAGCCAGCCGTCTTCTCACTTTCTACCATGGAGTTCTGCCCTATGGTTCGAGACCCAGTTCAACCACCAACCCCTTCTTCAGATGGGAGTCACAAGAGAATAGGCTGGGAGCCTGCCTCAGGAGCCGGGACACCTATGTGCCCAGCCCGCCATTGCCTGACTTGCTGTGTGGCCTGAGCACATCACAAACTCTCCCTGTGCCTGTTCCCCATCTGCCAAGTGAGAGAGTGTGGGATATCCACCAGCACTTTTGCCTCTGATTGTCCTAAGATTCTGTAGGTCTGAGCCTTTAACCCTTGGACTGAGCTACAGTTCACTTTAGAGTTTGAGGGCGGCCCTGCTTTAGGGAGGGCTTTCAGAGGGGGCCATTTAGTGGAGTAGGGACAAGAAAATACCTGGAGGGAGCTGCTCAGAACTGTGACTATCTAGGACTGTGAATAGGTAATGACCCTAACGCCTCCCTTCATGAGGCACCTCTCACCCTCTGAGCCTCACAACAGCCCTTTTGTGGGTGACTAAGCTGAGCCCCAAAAGGAGGTGATGGCTTTCCCTGACTGCACCACTGGGAAGCACCAGAGCTGGAACAAGAGCCAGGTCTCAGCCAGGCATGGTGGCACATGCCTGTAGTCCCAGCAACTCGGTGGGGGGACAAGAGGGGGTGCAAGAGCCACATCTCCTCATGCAGTGTCCCCTCACCTGCGTCAGGGCCCCTCCAGAGGAGCAAGTACATGCGGCACTGATGAGGAAGTCTGGGACAAGCGACCTGAGGAGGACCATGCCTCCCACTTCCTTCCTGATAGCTCCTGCACCCCGAGAGGGGTGGGGGAAGGTCTCAGATCCTCAGCATCTCTCCTCCTTCTGGCTGTGCAGTCCTCCAGCCTCAAGACTCATGCTTCCTTGCCCTCACCTCATCCTGTGGCCATGCAGGGTGACTTCCAGAATTGCCAGCATTATGTACATACTCTTACCTCTGTGCCATTGCTCATGCTCTTCCTACCTCCTGGGACACACCCCTCCCAGTCACCAAGGCCACATCTGCAACCACTTGCTTGGAAGCCTACCCTGATACCTCCACCAGATGTGCCGTCTTCCTTGTCTTAACCCCCATATGCTGCTCTCCCAGCCTCCAACATCAGCATAACCATAGGAATTACTTGTGAAGTTCCTGCTATGTTCCAGGCATTGAGTAGCTCATACACATGAACTCCTCCCATCCTCTGAGCTATTAGTATTCTCATTTTACAGATGAGGAAACTGAGGCACAGGGAGTTTCATTTCCTAGTATGACACCTCACAGGCTAGGGAGGTATTGTGTTACATGGCCCTCTTCTGTCAAGGCTGCAGGTCATAGGATGGCTCACTGCTACATCCCATCACCCAGTGCAAGGCCTTGGGGGCTGACAGGCCATCCGGAGCAGGGGAGGTATAGAGGCCCACAGGATGGAGGATGACCAGAACCAGCCCTCTGGGGGCTCACAGTCTCTCAGGAAGGACTGCCCACACCAAATGCCATTCTTTTTTTTTTTTTTTTTTCTTGAGACAGAGTTTTGCTCTGTCGCCCAGGCTGGAGTGTGCAGTGGTGAGATCTCGGCTCACTGCAAGCTCCGCCTCCCAGGTTCACACCATTCTCCTGCCTCAGCCTCCCGAGTAGCTGGGACTATGCCACCATACCCGGCTAATTTTTTGTGTTTTTAGTAGAGATGGGGTTTCACCATGTTAACCAGGATGGTCTGCATCTCCTGACCTCATTATCCACCCGCCTTGGCCCCCCAAAGTGCTGGGATTATAGGCATGAGCCACCGCACCCGGCCACCCAATGCCATTCTAAGAGTTCGGGGAAGAAGAAGAGTTGGCATTGAGTGGGTCCTGGAAGGCAAGCTCTGGTGGGGCTGTGGGGAAGCCAGAGTGGGGCATGGACCTGCCTAAGGTCACACAGCAAGCAAGTATGAGACAGCAGCAGGGCTGGGACCTGGAGCTCCCAGTGTATCATGCCTTCTTGCACCTTGCAGCCAGCTGTGGGGCCCCTGCGACTGTGCTGTTTTCAAGGACACACGGTCCCAGATGCCTCCACAATTCTGAGCTGTTCAATGAGTGGCTCTGGTCCTTCTCCCCCCTCTATTAAAATGGAAAAAAGAAAGAAAGAAAGAAAGAAATCCAGGCATTGTTCCTGACTGCAGCTGGTGCCAACCAGAATCCCACTGAACAGAATGGAGCCGAGAGCCCGGCTGCCCAGGGGCCTGGCTGCTGACACAGGGCCTTTCTATTTTGCTTTCCACTGGGGGCCCAGGCTGACGGTGCAGCCCCTCCACGGACACCCTCTCCACCTGCCTCCCTGGCCCTGGCTCTGAGCCTCCTGCTGCCTTCACCCTCTTTGCAAAAATCAGATGGCACTTGGGGGAGGGTTGGAGGAGCACCCCCACCCCCTGCTTTCCTTCTTCATCCACTCACAGCCTGGGGTGCGCTGGGCCTCCCTCCCCGCCAGCCTGTCCTCCCACCCTACCAGGAGGGGACTTGGGATGCTTGTCTGGGAGAGCGACACAAATCCCTCTTCCAAAATCGTTTGAAACACTTGTCTGATTCTAGGACATATGAGGATTTTCCACCCCACCCCCACCTGACTTGGCAGGTGCCAGTCCTCAGCTCACACATTAAGGCCTCTTGCAATAGTGAAGGTCTTGTGGGGGAAAGGGGAACATGATGAACAGCTCTACAGAGACAAAAACAGTTTTTTAAGTTGCTAGTTTGCCTTCTGCCTTTGGTCTTAGGAGGAAAAAGGACTTCTCCAACTCTCCCTTACCATCTTCATTTCATCCTCTGCTTCCTGCCCCTTTCGTGAGCTGTCTGGTACTCAGACCTCCTCTCCACAGGCTATTGGCTAGTTTGACCCAGATTACCCCAAGCAGCAGTTCTAAGAGAGCAGCATCCTGGCCACTGTCCAGTGTCCACCAGGGACCCTTGGGTTGGCACTGCCACCACAGCCAGCTCTCCTGGCACCCCCTTCCTCCTGTGGACACAGCTCTTTAGTTTGTAAAAAGTACTTGACGTCTCACGCAAGTGCCACAGCAGCCTCAAGAGGCAGGCAGGGATTGCTAACCCACTTCGTAGAAGAATAAACTAAGGGTTCAGGAGGCATAATGGTTTGGCCAAGGTCAAAGGAGGTGACAGAGTTGGGATTTGAACCCTGGTCTCTTGATTCCATGTCACTAAGCTGCAGTGGGGACTCAGGAAGTGACGGTGTCAGAGGATGACATTCCCAGCCCCCACCACCTCCACCCGACCAAATGCTGCCAGGAGACAGGATCTCAGACACATCGATTCCTTTAAGGAATATTTATTAAATACTTGCTGTATGCCAGATCTCCAACAGTGAACAAAACAGATTTGGTCCACACTGCTGCAGAGCTTATATTCTGAGACAGACACCAGACTTCGTGCAGAAAGATCCCCCTCTTCCTAGTTGCCCAGCCCATATGTCCTAGAAGGAACCGTGAGATGGGCAGCCAGAGACATAAGTTCTAGTCCTAGCATTGCCCCTGACTCTCCATGTCACCTTGGACCGAGTTTTCCACCTGAGAAATCCAAGCATGTGGCCCCTCACACATTTTCTCAGGTCTCTTCCCTACTCCCAGTCTCTGGGTCTAGTGGTTCATGATTTCCCGGCATGAATTATCCTGATTTAGTTTTTTTTCTTAAACCCGACTTTTCCTAGGCTCTTAGAGCCAGAACAGGGCTTCTGAGATCATTTGCTCTGAGCCCTTCACTAAGAAAGAACCCCTTAGCCTCGTTCCTGCCAGGAGGAGACTGTCTTTGCTTGTACTCTTCCAGGGACGGGCTGCTTGCTCCCTCACATAGCAGACCTCTGCCAGTGGTGTGCTGGTAAATGTTTAACAGCTGGCTCCCCAAAGTGGGGAGAACCTGGTTTGTAGTATTTGCCGATGTCTACGGTGTAAATACCCCCACCATGGCCAGTTTCAAGCTGCCGACCAGAGCCAGCTGGCACAGCTGGTTGGTTCCATCAACCAGCTCGCGCAGTTCCTGAAAATTTAACAATCGGCCCTTGTGAGCCATATGAACAGGCTCCAACACACCATTTCCCCTGCCCCGCAGAGAAGTCTTGTCTAGCTTTACTCATTGGGAAGTTCTTTCTGGTATTGAGCAAAACATCTGATTGTCAGGAACTCTGGCCTGAAAGTCCTGAACTACTTCTCTGGGGTGTCACAGGACAATGGGGACCCCATGAAGGCCTTCTCTAATTGGTGGCAGCTCTTGACTATGTCTTCCTGTGAGAGGAGCAAGTTCCTGGGCCAAATGGGGTCAGAGCATAGCCACCCTCCCATTCTGCCTTTCTCTCTCCCTCTTCACCTCCCTTCCTTCCTCTCTTTCTTTCACAAATATTTCCTGGGCCCCTGTGACAATGTCAGACACTGCTAGATACTGTGGATTCAGCGACCCATGTCTTAGCTTGCGCAGAGATGCTGCCCACTCTGTGAAGCCTGTCCTGACCCCCACCCTAGCCCCTCCCGCAGTGGGCAGTCTCCTCCCCTCCCAGAGCCTTTATCGCCCCTGTTTGGCACTTATCACTTTCTACCTGGGATTGCAGCTATTTGTGTACACGGCTTATCTCCCTGCCAGACTGAGAGGCAACGTGGGCCTGTTGAAAGAGCGTGGACTTTGGAGCCGCATGACCTGGCCCTCAATCCCAACCCTGCGACTCAGAGCTGTGAGCCCTCGGGGAGCTCACAACACCTTTGGGAGCCTCAGTTTCCTTATCTGTAAAGTGGGGATGGTGATAACTACTTCCAATGTGGTTTTGAGCAACTGGTAGGATTAGAAATGTCAACCCCATTTCCTGCTCCTGTCTGGACTCCCATCCTCTTGGGGACAGAGATTGTGTGCAATACTTCTCTGTAGCCTCCTGGTAATAATAACATAACAATATTAATAACAATGACCAACACTTACACAGCAATACCATACATAAGGTAAGAGCTTACATATGTTAGCTCATTCATTCTCACAACCTTGTGGCATTGGAAGCATTATTCCCATTAACAGATGAGCAATCTGAGGCACAGAGGGGTTAGGTAACAAGCCCAAGGTCACACAGCTAGTGAGTGAGAGAGCTGAGATTTGAATCCAAGAAAATCCACCTCAAAGCCTTAGCTATTGAATAGTATGGCTTCTGGAGGGGTGTGAGTGTATGTGCCCATGGTTCACTGCAGCCTTTGAGCATCCTTGCCCTGACCTGCAGGGTGGGGGTGGAGTGATACAAGGAAGACCCTGGTCTGCGCATTAGGACATCCTAACAGGTGAGTGGTTAGTGCTGAAGAAAGGAGTGTCCCCAGGTATCTGGAGGCCAGGGGACTAGAAGGTGATAATCAATAAGGCAATCAGAGGAGGCTTCCCGGAGAGGTGGCGCTTGCCACCAAATGAGGATGGACAAGGCAGGGCGAACAGGAGGACCAAAATTGTAGACATGGGAGAGGTATATTAGGGTTTCACCTAGGTGTCAGACTAGACATATTCACTGGTTCTGGTGGGTGGGATGGAGCAGAGACTGTGAACTTGGGGAGGGGCATGTTGGTTTCCCAGTCTGTGATTCAATAGGGAATGGAGGACATTTTCAGGGGCCTTGAGAGCCAGTGCAGGCCCAGGAGAGCTGAGAGTCACCTGTGCTGCCCTCGGGGCCATATTGGCATTTTGCTTCTCTGCAAGCTACTCTGAGATTCCAAAGTCCTGGGTTCCCGAATTCAGCTGTGCCAGTCCCATCCCTCCATTTCTTCAAGCCTCAATTTCTCCAGTTCAGAATGGGCATAAAGGGTGGACCTTGCATGCCGATTAAAGGATGAGATAGGGCTGTGTGGGGATGGGCCTGACGCTCCTGGGGCAGGAAATGGGGGAAAGGTACTGCGGGGAGGGAGAGTGGGAAGCTGGGAGAGAAGGAGGTGGTGCGAGGAGCCCTGTGTGCTTGGCCAGTGAATCCAGGTCTGCTAAGCTGGCCCTAGCTGGGATTCTTCCAGCACCCCATACTGCATTTTCCCAAGGCTGCCTGACTCTGCTGCCTCAAAGCAGTCTTCCTCCTGGGCTTCTGCAAGGATAGTTCTGGGTTAGATCCTGTTCCTCTGGCCAACCCAGTTGAGCCCAGCCATGTCCCTTGGAGAGCACTCTTCATGTTCCAAGGGCTGTTTTAAATGCTCTTCCCTCATACTAACTAGTTCAGTCCTCACAGCCACGCTGTGAGTTCCCTCATTTCACATAAGGAAACTGAGGCACAGAGAGGGTAAGCCAGGTGTTCCACAGGGTTCCACGGCAGGGAAGGCGAAGTCTAAGGGATGGGAATAGCCCATGGAGCCAGGAAGGCGGGCCCAAGGGATGGGCCTCTGAACCGCCTTCTCACCCTTTCTGTATGGGAAATTATGACCATTGTGAGTCGTCCCTCTCACACGTTTCTTTTCTGCTCATCTCAAGGTTCTCAGGTAGCTGCAGAACCACAATTGACATCCCTCTGCCCATACAGGCGCCTACATGTCCACACACTCAACACCATGGCTGCCCAACGTCTCATAGGCACAAGGCTCACACTTTTGCACACACAACCATCAATTCAGAGCCACAAATGCATCTGCAGGCACCACACCCACCCTGCCGCAGATGCACACATAGGGCACGTGTGGGCTTTGGGCCTCAGACTGACAACCAAGCACCAACAAGTCCCATTCCCAGAATGACGGATACACACCCACGCGTTCACACGGGCTCCAGTGTGCCTGACACGACATGGTGGGGTCTGTGGACTCACAGTGCACCCCCTGGACCCATGTCCAGGCTCCAGCCTCTGCAGATGTCCCTTCTGCCCAGGTGCCTTCATTCCTATCCCTTCAAGACTACGGCTCTGGAATGTGTGCACAGCGGATCCGCTTCTCATGGCAGGTCCCTGCCCTGCCGTCTTCTGTAAGAACTGGGCCTCAGGTGTGTGGTAGGGGATTGGGGTAAAAGGTGACCCTTCCTGCAACCCTGGCAGGCTCCCTGGGCTGCAGAAGGGACAGCAGGGAGAGGAGAGTGAATTAATCCTGGCCTCCCTTCTTGGGTTCACTGTCATGCTAATTTTCTCCGCCTTTGATCCATCTCTCTAGCCCCAGCCCCTAACTCTGAGCAGGAGCAGGCGCTGGGTCTGGCCTGAGATTAGGGGCTGCCTTGGTGAGGCCTGGGGCACATCCTTCCATGTGGCAGACTGGGGTTTCGCCCTTGGGAGGGGCTTGGGGGATTATAGCCCTGGTTACTGACCTGCTGTGGGCAACACACTCTCCTTCACCAGACTCATCCTCTTTCTTCCTGACCGACCTTCTCCTCTCCAAAGGGGGCTCTGCTGTTCCCATTTTGCACAAGAGCAGAGTGAGGCCCAGGGTTGAAAGGTCTCCGGAGGCTTCTGGCCACTGAGAGGTGGAGCCAGGCTGGGAGCACACATCTTCCAGACTCCAACCCCGCCCTGTTTCCGTGGTGGGTCTTCGTTCTGGTGATTTTTTTGAAACCAGCATCTACGGCGTATTCATGACATGCCAGGGACTGCGCCTTAACATACATTGCCTCATGCAGTCCTCAGCAATGCTCTTATGAGTCCCACTTTATAGGTGGGGAAAGAGTCCTGTGTAACTATCTGGTGAGTGGTGAAGTCTGACCAAATCCAGGACACAGGTGGCCAAAGTCCCCTCCCTGTAGGGGGTGACACTGAGACCCAGGCAGGGGAAGGACATGCCCAATCCCACACAGAGAGGGAATTGGCTGGACATGCATCTCCTACCTTCCTGTATGCTCCATCTGGTTCCAGAAATGACTGGACTCTTCTATGGACCCAGTGGAGCTCAGACAAGGGTCCAGGCCCTGACACTGCCCCAGAGCAGGGGTGCCAGCACCTATGAGGATGCCAAGCTCAGGTCATCGCCCTGCGGTGTCTCAGCCAACTGGGCCTCGAACAGCCCCATAAACTTGGACATAAACACAATTAAAGTTTTTTATTACATTATATTTTGTACATATAAAAGACTATTTGTAAGCCATGAAACATTACAATGAATGCTCATGACTACTCTGCTGAAGAACTAGAGTATTAGGGACACTTGTGAAGCTCCGACCTTCCCAGCCCCCTACTTCCCAGAAGGAGCCACTATCCTAATTGTCATTACTCTCTGCTGTTTTTGTTTGTTTGTTTTTTAAGGAGTCTCATTCTGTTGCCCAGGCTGGAGTGCAGTGGCGTGATCTCGGTTCACTGAAACCTCTGCCTCCTGAGTTCAAGCGATTCTCCTGCCTTAGCCTCCTGTGTAGTTGGGATTACAGGTGTGCACCACCACGCCAGGCTAATGTTTTGTATTTTTAGTAATGATGAGGGTTCACCATGTTGGCCAGGCTGGTCTCAAACTCCTGACCTCAGGTGATCCACCCACCTCGCTTCCCAAAGTGCCGGGATTACAGGCATGAGCTACCACGCCCAGCCTCTCCCTGCCTCTTTTTAACAGAAAGTTTTAGCACCTGTGTGGAGACCCCTTCACTCACTGCACTTTTTTTTTTTTAAGAGGTGGGATCTCACTCTGTCACCTACACCCGAGTGCAGTGATGTGATCCTGGCTCATTATAGCCTTGATCTCCTGGCTCAAGCGATCCTCCCACCTCAGCCTCCCAAATAGCTGGGACTGCAGGTGCATGCCACCATGCCCAGCTAATTTTTTTTTAATTTTTATGCAAAGACAGGGTCTTGCTATGTTGCCCAGGCTGGCCTCAAACTCCTGGCCTCAAACAGTGCTCCCGTCTCAGCCTCCCAAAGTGCTGGCATTACAAGTGTGAGCCACCACATCCAGCTGCTAACTGCACTTTTGAGATGTTGCATTCTATTCTGCACTCCCAATTATTCATTCCCAGGGGAAGTGCATTATTTAAAGGGATAGAGAGAGAACTTGGAGGAGCCACTTGCACCCCATGTGCCTCTTCGCTTCAGTGCTGTGAGTGCTCTGTTTGGCCCCCTCATTCCAGTGAGTGCCCTGAAACAGGACATTTCTTCCTGGTACGGCCAGTAGAAGGAGGGTGGGGGCCTTCCGGCAGCTGGGCATTCTCTGAACATGGCATGCTGCCTTGCATTTGCGTAAGCCATTCCTCCACCTGGAATTCCCTTCGCTAGACTGTTGTGGGAACCCAGTTCCTTCTTCCAGGTCCAACTCCAAGGTTTCGTTCTGGAGATGCCTTCCCTGTGACCCCTTGCCCCTCTCCCCCAGCAGAGCTGGATCTGTCCTCTTCTCCCCTGACAGAGTTTTGGGCATCCTTCTATCAGCCCTTATCCCAGGGCAGGAAGAACAGCCTTGATCCTGGATCCCAGGCACAGCTGGGTGTCAGACCTGGAGGAGAAGCTCCCAGAGTGACCAAGATAGAATCGGCATGCAGGTGACAGCAGATGGGCATCCCTGTGAAACCCCATGGGCCTGGACCTCCAGGGTCCTAGCCAGTTTGCTCCAAGTTCTGTGTGGACTGGGGATTTGGAGGCAAGTCTGTGGGGAGACTGCCTGGGGCTTGTGCCTGCTGTTTACCTGTCTGCTGTTCAGGCACATGATCAGGCCAGTGGGTGTGCCCAAAGGTGGGCGTGGTTGCAGGAGTGCTCACGTTCATACACGTGTTTACACACACGTGTGCATACACGGGGTGCCAAGGCTATAGGTCTTGCGAAGCATGCAGGGCCACTGCCTTTTCCTGCTTTTAACCCCCCTCCTGGACAGGCCTGTGTTCTCTCTGAACATCTCACAGTGCACATTTATGGAGTGCCTGCTGTGTGCAAGACCTGAGGGGTTGGGGCAGAGCAGTGCGCAGGGCAGCTGGCCCCTAGGGGACAGGAATGACTGAGCACTCACACAGTGTCTTTCTGTCCTGGTCCCCCTGCACAGGAGCCCCCAAGGCCAGGCACCCCCGCCTCTACTTCCCAGAGGAGGACTTTGAGGTCCTGATGCCTGAGAGGGGCACCTGTTGAGTCAACAGAGGGGACGGACAATGAGACCAGCAGTCCGGTGCTCAATTCTCCATCCTAAGTGCCAGAAACCCCTACTTCAAGAGAAAACTGGCATTGACAGGGCCCACCCAGAATCCTCTCCTGCACCCTCCTTTCCCCTACTGGAAACCACACTTTTTGGGGGGCATTTCCCTGGGCATCCTGTAGGAGGGCATCACAGCTGTTAGCAGCAGGAGGAATTAAGGGAAGCTCTGACCTGAGTTAGACTGGACCGTGTAGGACAGCACTACCCCATGTCTGAACTGGGGACCGGGCCACCCCTCCCCCAACACACATACCACACACACGCATGCACACATACACACATACACACACATGCACACATGCCCAGAGAGGTGATGGGAGTTGCCTAAGGATGCCCATGGCGAGTGCTGGCCCTCTCCCTCCCAGACCCAGTTTGTTCCTTTAACTCAGGCTGCCCACTTTCCTGTCTCTTCTTGCCCTCCCCGCCCCCCGCCCCCCGAGTCTGAGAATTAGGACCCTGGTGGCTGAGGAGGATGATCTGAGGCATGATCAGGTGCTCCCTTCTGGGCCACTATTGGCCCACCCTTAAGGTGGCAGGATGACATGGAGTTTCGGCCAGCGTGAATATAGGGGCTGGAGGATCCCTGTCTTTCCTTGCCTGGCACCCAAATGCAACCTGGAAGACCCTGAGTGAAGGCCCCTTTCTGGGAAGAGGATGGCATTATGGCATGGCCATTAGAATCTTTGGCTATGGACACTGTGACAGCCCAGGGCAGAATCCAGGATTCCTCACTTCTAGCTGTGGGCTGTGGGCAGGAGGCTTCATCCTGCTGAATCTTAGTCCCTAACCTGTACCGAAAAGATGAACATACTTCATGATGTTTGGAGAGGGAGGCATTGTCTCGGATCAGGGCCCAGGAAATGGCAGTTGGGGTGGTCAGTGCTTATTCTTGTAAGCAAGAATGTGTGGCCAAGCCAAGTTGTGTCCAGAACACCTGGACCCACAGGATTTGGGCCTGCCTCGTGGCCCCAGGATTTCGAACCCAAATTCCAGTCCTGACATTGCCTCACCAGCTGGTTGGCCTTGGGCATGTCCCTGGCTGCCTCTGGCTGCAACAGCCTCAGCCCCAAATGAGCACATCAATCCCAGGGTCACATGGAGGACAGAATAACCAATGAGACATCAGAAGGGCCTTGCAAATCACAAGGCTTGTGTCCCTTTTGGGGATGCTGGAGGGAGGAACAGGTACCTACCAACTCTCAGTGGGTCCCTTGTGCACTCACACCCAGCGTTCTGGCCTCCAGTCAGGCTGAGAGGTGCACTTCCCCCATACAGGGGAGAGCTGCACTCATTTGGGGACCCTCTCCCGAGCCCTGCCCCTGCCCTCCCCGCCAGGCCCCCAGCAGCCAGGTTGGAGAGCTCTCACTCAGGGAGTCTGAGTCCCCTTTGAAGCTGGGAAGTTTGCACTGGAGGGGCAAAGGCAGCCTGCATTCAAAGCATCTCTCCTGGCCCTTAATTACCCTTCTTCACCCATAGGTGGAATTTCCACTCAAAGAGCTAAGAAATGCACCCGTGCTGCCGCCAGGGACTGGGTTTCCCTGCTGCCTTTGTGTAGCAGCCGCCAGCGCGGCAGTGGCACACAGCTCGGGTTTCTGATTTTAATGATTTCCTGAATTCATTCCGTTTCCTACCTCAGGGAAAGGAGAAGAGGTGATCCTCTTGGAAATTCACATAATTGCTTTTATTTGATTTTTATTAAAATGCATTCAGGAATAATGTGATTGCCCCCTTTATTAGATTGTTCATCAAGCTGGCATGGGGAATCAGCCTAGAAAAAAGTGGTGGGCACAGGAGCCTGGTGTGTGATGGGGAGCGGGCACAGTCCCGCGGCGGCCTTGGGGGCTTGCCTCTCACTGGGGGAGTCACGCCTGCCTCTGAGCCTCCCGCTGCTCCTGTCTGGGGAGGTGGGCCCACTGCAGGGCGTGTTGGAAGAATGAAAGCTGGCAGTCAGTGTGGAAGGCCGTGAGCACCGTCTAAATCCCCTCCACATCCCAACCCACTCCTCCTCTGTTGCTCCTCTGCCCACCTCTGAGGCCACACACAGGCTGACACGGAGACCCGTGGTGATCTGGCATAGCAGCACTGACCCCACACTCGCCTCCGCACTCCCAGTTGCCTGTACTTCTACGATGGCCTTTTTGCCAGTCTTGCTGTCCTCAGGCTCAAGGTCCTCAGTGCAGTTTTCTGTGGCCCACCTAATCACACCACTCCCCTGTTCAGAAACTTGGTGGCTCCCAAAGACCCCTTTCTTGCCGGAGACTTTTGCTTTGGGTTCCTTTGCACGCGCTGGAAGGTGAAAATAATCCAGACCTCTTAGACCTAGTTTCAGTGCTTGAATTGCTTTGCATGGTGGGATGTGGGTGAAGCTGCCTTGCCTCTCCTAGTCTCAGTTTATTGGTTCAAATAATGGGAACTCCAAGACCTTCCGTAGGGTCAGTGAGAAAATGGAGTACAGGGGGTCTGTAACTCAGGCGGCATGTACGTGTGTGGGTGAAATCGTGCCACGTGACCCTGTGTTGCAGGAGGCTGAAGATGCTTAGCAAATATGTGGGGAGAAGGCAGGGCAGGTCCAGCGCTGGCCCCAGCAGAGGCCACAGACCAGCTGAGCAGCCACTGTGACAGGGACAGTTTTATTCTGAGCACCCCTACTCCCATTTTCTGTAGCCCCTCCCCTCCTCCCAATGCAAGAGTGGAGCTGACTTTCACTGCGCTCAGTGAATTTGCCTCTCACCTTCTGGGGGGTTTTGCAGTTTCCAGAAGAGGGGCACAAATATGTTCACTGGGCTTCCAGGAAGTGCCTCACCCTCTGAGCTCACCATGTCTCCAGACTGCCCAAGGCATGTTTTATTACCCTTGAGATATGGTGAAATACATATTTGTTTCCCCCTCCTCCCATCCCATTTCCTGGCATAGGACTCCTAAAATCCTTGGACTCTCCAAAGTGATAAGTTTCTTTTTGTATGCTAATGAGTTGATTGCTGGCTGGCTGCTCCTAGGACACTTCAGGATGTGGGCTGGTCACCAGAAAGACCAAGGATTAGAGGGTTGGGGCTTCCAGCCCCACCTCCCCCATCTGGGGGTGGGTGGGGAGAAGGGCTGAAGGTTGAGTTGATCACCAATGGCCAATGTTTTAATCAATCATGACTACATAATGACATCGCCATAAAAACGCAACAAATCTGGGTTCCGGGAGCCTCCAGACAGCTGAACGTTTGGAGGCACTTGGAAGGTGGCACTCCAAGAGAGGGCATGGGAGCACCCCTTCCGGACCTCGCCCTGTGCCTCTCTTCATCTGGATGTTTATTTGTATCCTTTAAAATATCTTTTGTTATAAACCAGTAAACATTTTTCCAAGAGTTCTGTGAGCCGCTCGGGCAAATTAATCAGACCCAAGCAGGGGGTTGTGGGAACCCCGATTCATAGACGAACGGTCAGAAGCACAGGCAGAATAACCTGGGGTTTGCGGTGGGCATCAGAAGTGGGGCTCAGAGTTAGGGGACTGAATCCTCACCCTGTGGGATCTGATGCTATCTCCAGGTGGATGGTGTTTGAAGTGAATTGAATTAGGGGACACCCAGCTGGCATCTGCTGCAGAACTGATGACTCGCTTGCTGGTGGGCAGAAATCTCCATAATCTTTCTTTAGCAGATGAGGTCACTGAGGCTCAGAGAGGGTAAGTGACTTGTTTAGGGCTGTCTAGCTAGGATGTGGAGGCTTGGGGACAAGGCCTCTTGGGCACATACAACTAGGATGGGCAGGTGACTCCCTGCCACCAGGGGAGTTGGTGAAATGCTTCGCAGGGCTGAGGTTGAGCAAGTGGGCAGTGCCTGGAGAAGCCAATCTGCATCCTTGGTGTGGGTAGGCCTTGAGGGTATTTGAAGCAGGCCCTCTGCCTGGGGCGGTCTGCCCCTGCTGGCTGGGCTGCACAGAGAGTCAGGGAGGCATGGGAGCATAGCCATCCACTTTCAGAGCCCCATCTTGGGGGCTTTTAGTTTCTGGGAAAAGTCTATCTTTTTTTGTTTTTTTGAGACGGAATCTGGAGTCTGCCTCTGTCGCCCAGGCTGGAGTGCAGTGGTGAGATCTTGGCTCACTGCAACCTCTGCCTCCTGGGTTCAAGCAATTCTCCTGCCTCAGCCTCCTGAGTAGCTGGGATTACAGGCGTCCGCCACCATGCCCAGCTAATTTTCTTGTGTTTTTAGTAGAGACAGAGTTTCACCATGTTGGCCAGGCTGGTCTCGAACTCCTGACCTCATGATCTGCTTGCCTGGCCTCCCAAAGTGCTGGGATTACAGGCGTGAGCCACTGCGCCGAGCCAGCAAAGTCTATCTTTATTTGCGGGAGGGGGGGGGCGGAAACTTGTTTGTTGGGTTTTTCTTTTTTATGTGTTTGTTTTTGGTGCAAATTGTTTGGCAGTGGACACGGCCAGAGGAATTCAGAGAGTGGAGACAGTGGATTTAGAAATTCAACTGAGAGGCCCTGGAAGTCCATTTGGGGCCTGCCATCTAGCTGATGCTCAGCACAGGGCTTGGCGTCGCGTGCCCTACCACCTGGCCTCCCAGGCTTTGCCCAATCTGTGGCTTCCCCTGGAATGTAGTTCTCTGCTCTTCTCTGCTGATCAGACCCCTCCCCTCAGGTCCAGGCCCTTGGGACCACTCTCTCCAAGTCTCCTCCCCTGCCCCAGCGCCTCTATCTGTTCCCACTCTGGTCCCAATTTGTAATACCTGCTCATGCAGCCTGCCTGTCCCAGAAGCAGCCTGGGTTCACCAGGACAGGTGTCTGTCCTGTCCCACCAGTCAGGCTCAAAGTCTGTCCAGGAAGGCAAGTCCGACCCTCAGTCCTGGAGGGGGCCATGCAGTGAGCTGGCAAAGACCTGTACAGGCTCATCCAGGAAGTCTCGGCCCAGAGGCTGAAGGGTGGCCAACCAGCACAGTTTGCCCAGGAACGAGGTAGGGGAGGGGCGGGGGGCGGTTTCCTGGGATGCGGGACTTTCAGTGCTAAGCTGGAATGCCCTGTTCACCCTAGCTGAAGCCACTTGCTCAGAGCCGCACAGCAAGCCCACCACCCTGAACCTCCAGATTACCAACTCAGCATTGTGTCCTGACAGTGTCATCATAGATGGTCAACACCGTCACCTGGGCAGCACTGAAGCCCAGAGCGGGAGAGACTGGCTCAAGACCATGGGTAAGTCAGCAGCAAAGCTGGGGAAAGGAAACCACCAACCTGAGAGCCCCTGGCTGGTTCCCAAATCCAGGCCCTTACTTCTCTTCCCCACCATCCAGGGTGGGGGGCAGACACCCAGTGAAATGGCCTGCCCCAAAGGAGGGGAGCCTTGCCGAGCCACCCCAGGCCACCTCAGACCCACACCCCCAGCTCAGCGGTTGGAGGGGCTGAGGAGGGGCTGAGCCGCCACCCCCTCCCCACCCCAGTGCCAGGGCCCCAGCCTTGCAGCGCTTGTCCCCAGCCCAGATGAGCAGGGCGCCCTTATCAGATCTCCGTTTCTGTTTCTCTCCTCTGGCTGCTTCTGCCTGGCCCTGCCCCCAACCCCGGTGGCCTTTTCCTCTCTGAAGTGATGTTCCTTTTCCTGTCACCAACACACACAGCACACAGAGAAGTTTGTTTCTGTTGCTTTAAAAAAGTTTCCTTCTGGGGAGGAGGGCAAGGGGTTGTTTACTGGGCCTGCAAAGCCTCACCGTGGGTGTGGGCATGGGTGTGGCATGGGTGTGGGTGGCAACTGGGTCCCTGCTGGATTTGGGGTTGGTGGAGGCTGCACCCACGACCCTGGGCCTCTGGATCCTGTGCAAAAGCCAGGAACGTGGAAGGAAAACCTCCTGTGCACCCTGCTCAGGGCTGGGCTGGTTCACCCACCGTCCAGCCACACTCCTGCAGAAACCTGGGAGGTCAGGGGTTTTGTTTTCCATTTTCCACAGGAGACAGCTGAGGCTCGGCCAAGGTTGCCAGGGTCCAAGCCTATGGATTTGTGGTCTGGGCTCTGCCAGTGGCATGGCACTGTCTTCAAAGCTCCCACCCTACCATTTTTCTTACCCACACAGGGCAGGCTCGACCCAGCTAAGGAACACAGCTTCCTGAAGCATCTGTCCTGGGCCGTTGGCCCTTCTGTGGACAGGGCTTGAGCTCTGTAGGCTGGATTTGAATTTCAAGTCCTCCTGCTGTGTGACCTTGAACAAGTTACTTAGCCTCTCTGAGCATCAAATGGCTTAACTATCAAATAAGAAGCACAGAGAAGTCCCCAAGAGCCAGTAGACTCTGGAGGCTGTGAGACCGGGGACTGGGGCTCCTGCATCCTTAATGAAGGTTTCAGTCTTGAGTCGCGTCTGGGAGACCTGCTGAAGCAATGGGGAGCTACTGTAGGTGGGTAAACAAGGGAGAGTGTGATGGAGGCCATGTTCTAAAAGGATTCTATAGGCAGCAGAAGGGAGGAGGGCTCAGGGGAGAGGTGGAGGAGCTGCAGGGGAGAGGTGGAGGCTGGGAGGCCAACAAAGGAGGCTTTGACTTCCTTTTCAGAAAAATAAGGCCACCCACCTCCCACCAGGAGCAAGAGTCATGGAGGGAGACTGTCTCAGCTGGCCTGGCCTGGCTCCTGCCCAGGACAGAGATCCCGGCCCCTGGACTCCTCCAGCAGCCCAGTGTAGGGGAGGAGTGCCTTCCTCCCCATGCCCAGGGTAGCCCCTTGTCTGAGAGTGGTGGTTGTGGCAGGCCCTGCTGAGAACTGCAGTTTCATTTCCCACTGACCTCCACCCACTGGACTCTCCCAGGCTCTTGTTTCAAGCTGCCTAGTGCTAACCCCAGCCCTTGAGCCAGCTCGCTCCAGCCTTTACCTCAGACCAGGGCACTGGGGCTGTGTGTAGGACTCACACCTCCCAGGTCTGTCTCTTACCTTGGGACCCTTAGGGCAGGAACACGGGAGGGGGGCTCTGATGTATGATGTCAGGGAACTCCGAGGGCCACCTCCTCCTCTGACAAAAGCACCTTCTTTGTCAAGTGAGTAATTCCTCTGACACATGTCGCTCTGACATGGCACAGGTCTTCTTAAAGATGAACGTCCTCCATGACCTGTGTGGGTTTCCTGGGAATAACCCACAGTAGTGGTCAAGGAGGCCAGGAAAGAAGAACTTCTACTGTTTCCCCCTTTTCCAAATTTGTTGGATGGAGATATAGAGGGTGGGGCCACCTTATTCTTCAAAAGGATTTTTAACAGCAGGGAAAAGGAAGGGTTGAGTCTCACAGTCCACACTGCAGCCACCATAACCATTTCCCAGACAAGTAAACTAAGGCCCAGGGCGAGATCCCAGGCTTCCTTACTCAACTTCCAGCCAGGGCAGAGTCTCTCGAACGAAAGAAGGGACGCTGCTGCATGGCTCACGTGCTCAGCCCTGGTAATAGAAATACGTCTCCAGTGAGATCTAATTGTAACTCTCATTGGGACCTGCGTCACCTACAAGGCTGGCAGCCAGACACCCTGAGAATGCACCAGCTTTACTCTTTTTTTTTTTTTTTTTTTTGAGATGAAGTCTTGCTCTGCTGTACAGTCTAGAGTGCAGTGGCATGATCTCGGCTCGCCACACCCTCTGCCTTCCAGATTCAGGCAATCTCCTGCCTCAGCCTCCCTATTATATGGGATTACAGGCATGCATCACCACAGCCTGGCTGATTTGTGTGTGTGCGTGTGTGGTATTTTTAGTAGAGATGGGGGTTTCACGATGTTAACCAGTCTGGTCTCAAACTCCTGAGCTCAAGTGATCTGCCCACCTCGACCTCCCAAAGTGCTGGGATCACAGGGGTCAGCCACTGCACCTGGCCTACGAGCTTTACTCTTTCCCTGGGTGATAGGGTGATGGCAGTCTCTGGGGCAGGGGGAGGAGTGCTGTGCCACATGCCCTGGGCACCTGCTTTGCTGCATGTCCTTCTCCAAGGCTCTGATCCTCTCTGGGCCTCTTTATTTCTTGCAGTGCCTGCCTCATGGGATTGCAGGGACCAAAGGATTTGGGTGCCGGCAATTGGAGGGCCGTTCTGTGGGCCAGCATTGGGCAGGCGCCTCCCACATGGTTCTCTTTTTGTCCTCCCAGTAGCCCTGTGCATCAGACGCAGAGCTGTGCTGCATGCACCCACTTGCCCCACTCGCCTCAGAGGAGCGTTCCTTGCAGGAGGAATTTGATAGATTTTAATACCAGGGTCCCCTGCTGACCAGGCTTTGCATTTCCTTACCTACCCTCGGCTCTAACTTTGGCCTGGCGAAGCAGGGCACCACAGGACATCAGGGTCACACATCTCAGACCACAAGAGCCTCAGCAGTCTCCAAGACAAAGTAGAGATTGAAGGCCCTGCTTCTCCTTCCAGAGTACTGAGGAGCCTCCTGCCTTCCTGAGTGAGGCTGGGGGATCAAAGCTCAACAATAGTGGGTTGTCAGAATTACGTTTCTAGAAAGGAAAATCAAGACTGATTTTTATGGGGAGTATAGCATTATGCTCCAGTAATAGTACTATTAGCTCCATTGCACAGAGGAGGAAATTGAGGCTTAGAGAATTTCTGATTGTCTAAAGACATCTTTCCTGGAACTGGTGGATCAGGGACAAGAACCCTGATTTGTTGATGTCAAAGCGTGTGTAGTTTTTCCTTTTTTATATCTTCTGGATCAGCAAGACCACCGCATTTGGGGAACAGAAGGCACAATGGGGGGAGTGGCACAGCTGCAACGTGAAGGGCTCCATGTGGGGCCTTGGAGACACCAAGCTGCCCTCCTCCTGGTCCGAGCTGCCCACTTCCCATCCCTCATCCCTCCTCCTTCAGCTTAGGGCCAGCTGCACCTGGCTCCAGGCCCTCCACTCAGTGTGGAGAAGTCCTGGCCCTCCTCACCACCTTCCCACAGCCCCTGCTCAGCTGCAGAGCCTGCCGTGGGCCTTCTAAAGCTGTGTACTGCTCCCAAAGGTGGCAGCAGGCAGAGCCAGGCCTTGCTGGGGGCTCCTTCACCCCTTGGAGTCTGGGCCTCAGAGTGACGTCCCAGGCTGAGGCTCATTGGGAGGGGTCAGCATTGGCATCAGGAGACTGGGGTCAAGTCTGAGTTCTGACAGTGACTGTGTGACCTTGGACAGTCACTTGCCCTCGCTGGGCCTTGGTTTTCCTGTTGTGAAGTCATATGGTCCTGGGATGTGGGCAAGGGTAGAGAAATGAGACACTTCAGCTCCCCACTCACAAGCCGTGCCCCCTCAGGCCCACCACTTAGGTTTTCTTAGCCCCTCCATTTTCCCCGGCATAAAATGGGGATAATGAAGCCCATTCCTTCTGATCGTTAAGGAAACCAGCATTTACTGAAGGCTCGGCCCCGTGCAAGATGCTCTCTGAAGCATTTTCTCTCATGGACTCCCATCCATCCAACAATGAAATGAAATGTCTTGCTTTTGGTCTTTCATACAATGTCTCTTTGCAGCCTCTCCTGGTCTGACAGTCTCAGATGCAGTCATGGATGGCTTTCTGGAGGAGGTGGTACCTGGTCTGTGGGAAGTAGGGGTCAGCATCCTGGTCTCTGGGAGCATCTGCTCCAGATGGTTTCCCTGGGGCCCCCAGAAGCAGGTGTTTGCGCTAACAGCTCTGCAAGCAGAGAGCTTCAGTGCATGGCCCTTCTTGCCCTTGTTCCCAGGCACATGCTGTTCCCCTGGGGCTGAATACCCCACTTACTTGTAAATCCCAGTGCTCTCCTGTTCATTCTGCAGTGCCAGCACAAGTCTCCTCCTTGGGGAAGGCTTTCTGGACTTCCCAGCCCACTGGCCATTGTTCCGTCTTGCAGGTGCCCCCTCAGGGTGCCTGCTGTAACCGTCACTCACATATCTCCCCCACCCAACAGAGGGCCTTGCTTTTGGTCCTGGACCTGCACCTTTGACTGTATTCTTAGTGATTTGTCCAAGCCCACCCTGGGAGATAGGGGCGGTGCCAGGCTAGCACCCAGTTCTCCTGGGTTCTCTGAGAAAGTTCCTACCTTCTTCCCTGGCTCACAAGTAGTACTTAAGCAGTTTTGGTTGTTAAAGAAAATACTGAATTTATTCTTCCAACCACTCATATATATATATAAATCAGTGTTATTGAGAAACAATTTACAAAATGCACCCATTTTCACTGTACAGTTCAGTGAATTTTAACAGGTGTGTACAGTGGTGTAAACACTGCCACACCCAAGATATCACACATTTCCATCACCCCTCAAAATCTCCTCATACCCCTTCCTGATCAATCCCTCTTCCTGCCTCAGGCAACATTTGATTTGATTTTATCAATATCGATTAGTTTTGCATGTTCTAGAATGTCCTATAAATTGTGATTAGGCAGTATGTACTTTCTGTGTAGTGCCATGCATGTTGTATCTTGCATGAGTAGTTCGGCCCTTTGCATTGCTGGGTAGTATTCTGGAGAATGGACATTCCACAATTTGTTTATCTGTTCACCAATTGATAGAATTTGGGTTATTTCCAGTTTGGGGATTTTATGAATAAAGCTGCTATGAACATTCATGTGAACATGTTTTCATTTACCTTGGGCTAATGCCTGGAACTGGTATTGTTGTATTGTCAGGGTAAGTATATGTTTTACTATATAAGAAATTGCCAAATTCTTTTCCAAAGTGTTTGCACCATTTTAGCCACCAGGAGTGTATAAGAGTTCCATTTGTTCCATATCTTGTCAACACTTGGTATCATCGGTCTTTGAGCAATTCTAGTGAGTATGTAATGGCAACTGTTGCTTTAATTTGCAATTCCACGACAACTAGTAATGTTGAAAATGTTGATCATCTGGTTATGTGCATATGCCTTTTTTGGCAAAGCACCTGTTTGAATCTTTTGCCTAGTTTTACTGGTTGTTTGTCTTCTTATTGAGTTCTAAGAATTCTTCATATGAATTCTTGACACAAGTGCTTTGTCAGATATCTGTGTTGCAAAATATTTTCCCAGTTGGTATCTTGCCTTTTCATTTTCCTAATTGTATCTTTTGAAGAGTAAAAGTCTGATTGATCAGTTTTTGCTTGTCTAGTTAGTGCTTGACATGACTTGTTTAAGGAAACTTTGCCTGCCAACAAGGCTGCAGATATTTTCTCTGCAGTTTTCTTCTAGATGTTTTATAGTTTTAGCTTTTGTGTTCAGATATATCGTCTGTTTTGAGTTCCTTTTTATGAATGATGTGAGGTGGAATTGAGGTCCATATAGATATCCATTTGCTTTCTCTATCATATTTGTTACTGTTTTCTGTTATTGCCCTTGTTTTTCATTCTTGGTTTTGCTTTCCACTCTTTTTCTGCTGTTTGTGGTTTTAATCAGGCATTTTATATGATTCTATGTTATCTTCTTTCTTAGCATATCATTATACTTTTTTTTTTTCTTTTCTTAGTGGTTGCCCTGGAGTTTGCAATATACATTTACAGCTAATCCAATTCCATTTTCAAATAACACTGCACTGTTTCATGGGCAATGCATGTACCTTGTAATAACAAAGTATTCCTTCCCCTCTCTCTCTTCCCTTGTAACATTGCTGTCTTTCATTTTACCAACCCATAAACTATAATCATTGAATACATTGTTGCTGTTATTTTGAACAAACTGTTATCTGTTGTATCAATTAAGAAAAAGTTGCTTTTTTTTTTTACCTCCATTTATCCTTCTATGCATTCTTTCTTTATGTAGATCTGAGTGTCTGACCTGTATCATTTTCCTTCTCTCTAAAGAACTTATTTTAACATTTTCTGCAAGGCATGTATACTGGCAACAAATTCACTCAAATTTTGCTTGTCTGAGAAAGTATTTACTTTTGAAAGATAATTTGGCAGCATATAGAATTCTAGGTTGATGGGTTTTTTGGTTTGTTTATTTTGTTTCTCTCTCAACAGTTTAAATATTTCAATCTACTCTGTTTTTTTTGTGTGTGTGAATGGTTTCTGAGAAGTCTGGTGTAATTCTTACCTTCTTTGCTCTTCAATAGATAAGAGTTTTGTTTTTTTTTTCTTCTGCCTTCTTTCAAAATTTTTCTTTATCTTTGATTTTCTGCAGTTTGAATAGACAGTCCTAGGTGTGGATTTTTTGGAATTTATCCTACTCACTGTTCTCTGTGCTTCCTGGATCTGTGGTTTGGTATCTGACTTTAATTTTGGGAAATTGTCAGTCATTATTACTTCAAATATTTCTTCTGTTCCTTTCTTTCTTCTTCTTTTGACATTACTATTATACACATATTATACCTTTTGTAGTCCTGCTTGGATATTCTGTTCAATTGCTTTCAGCCTTTTTTGCTCTTTGCTTTCTAGTTTTGAAAGTTCTATTGTCATATCCTCAAACTTACAAATTCTTTCCTCTGCTGTGTCCAGTCTGCTAATGAGCCTATCAAAGGCATTCTTAATTTCTGTTACAATGTTTTTAATTCCTAGCATTTCTTTTTGATTCTTTATTAGAATTTGTATCTCTCTGCTTATATCACCCATCTGTTGTTACACGTTGTCTACTTTTTCCCTTAGAGACCTTAGCATATTAATCATACTTCATACTTGCTTTAAAGTTCTGGTCTGATAATTCCAATATCCCTGTCGTATTTGTGTCTAGGTCTGGTGCTTGTTATGCCTTTGCTGTATTTTTTTCCTTTTTGTGTGCCTTATAAATTGTTGTTGAAGCTAGATCTGATGTACCAGGTAAAAGTAATCTGGTACTAGTTCCCACAGAGGGTTCTACTGATGGGTTTCTGCTCTGATAAGTTGTAATTCTCTGTTTTCACTTGTCTATCTCTCCAGTTTTGGAGGCATTAGTTTGCCCCATGGCCTCAATTCTCTGATGAATCTAAGAAGAGTTGTTGGTTTTCAGTTTGTTTAGCTGTTTTCTTATTGTGAGGATGACAGCGATGATTCCCAAGCTCCTTACATGCTGGAATAGAAACTGGAAGTCTGGTATTTTTTTGTTTTCATGTCTTTTCTTACAAATATAATTCTTTGCCCACTGAATAACCTTATCACTTTTGTAAAAAATCAGTTGCATAGTCCCGCTACTTGGGGACTTTCTTCTGTTCCATTGATCCATATATCTTTCCTTATACCAATACCATACTCTATTGACTACTGTAGCTGTGTAGTAAATCCTGAAATCAAGAAGCATAAGTTCTCCAAATATGTTATTTTTTAAAAAGTGTTTTGGGTATTCTAGGAAGTCCTTTTCATTTTCATATAAATTTTAGGATCAGTTTGTTGATGTCTGTTTTTTAAAAGAGTCTGCTGAGATTTTTCATTGGTTTGTAGTCTTCTTATATTGTGTTTGCCTGGTGTTATTAAGCACAGTACTGCTGAGCTTGTGAAACAACTTGGGAAGTATTCCATCCTCTATGGTTTGAAAGAATTTGTGTTTGGTATTATTTTCTACTTAAATATTTGATAAAATTCACTATAGATATATATGGGCTTGGAGTTTCTTTTAGGGAAGGTTTTGTGAGTTACATTTCTGTAATAAATATGGAGCTATTTGTTTTGTTTTTCTTACGCCAATCTTGATAATTTGTTTGTTTGTTTGTTTGTTTTTTGAGATGGAGTCTTGCTCTGTCACCCAGGTTGGAGTGCAATGGCACGATCTTGGCTCACTGCAACCTCCGCCTCCCCGGTTCAAGCAATTCTCCTGCCTCAACCTCCTGAGTAGCTGGGATTACAGGCATGTGCCACCACACCTGGCTAATTTTTGTATTTTTAGTAGAGACGGGGTTTCACCATGTTGGCCAGGCTGGTCTCAAATTTGTGACCTTAAGTGATCTGCCCACCTCTGCCTCCCAAAGTGCTGGGATTATAGGCATGAGCCACCGTGCCCAGCCAATAATTTCTATTGTTAAATGAATTTGTCTCGTTTATTTGAGGTGCCAAAGTTGTGATCTTAAAGTTGTTTATAATATTATTTTGGTATCCTTTTAACATCTGTAAGATCTGCAGTGATGAATCCACTTTGATTCCTGATATTGGTCATTTGTGTTTTCTTTTTTCTTCATCAGTCTAGCTAGAAGTTCCCTGATTTCCATTAATCTTTTCAAAAGCATATGCTATGGTTTCCATTGAGTTTCTGTAAGTGCATGCCCATTTTCCTTTTTGTTGGTTTCTGCTCTTTATTATACTCTTCCTTCTACTTTGGTTTTAATTTGGTCTTTGGTTAAACTTCATTAGGTGAATCAGTGGTGTGTTGGGAGTCCCCAAGACCACCCTCAGGTTCAAGGATTTTCTAGTAGGACTTACAGGAATCAGCTGTCTGCTAAGATTTCTTATAGCAAAGGATACAAAGCAAAATTGCAAAGGGAAAAGGCACATGGGGTAAAATTTGAAGAAAAACAGACATAAGCTTCCAAGAGTCTGCTCATGGTGTACTCTAGTCGTACAAGATGTGCTGAATTCCTCCAACAATGAGTTGTGACAACACATGTGAAATGCTGTCTACCAGGGATGCTCATTAGAGGCTCCATGTCCAGCATCTGTATTGAGGGTTCACCACATAGGCACCCTCTGCATGGCACATGTCAACATTTTAGGTTCCCAGAAGGAAAACATTGTTCAGGATAAACCATATTGTTTATGTAAATCATCTAGACACAGCAAGGCACTTTTATCAAGGAATGATGGGAACCTCCTGAAATCCAGGTTTCCAGATGCCAGTTATATTAGTCTGTTTAGCATTGCTATGAAAAAATACCTGAGAGTGGGCAGTTTATAAAGAAAAGACATTTATTTTCGCGCACTATTCTGCCGGCTGGGAAGTTCAAGAGCCTAGTGCCCCATCTGGCTGGCTTCTGATGAGGGCCACATGCTGGGTCAAAACGTGGCAGAGAAGCAGAAATGTGAGCTGAGTGGTCATGTGTGCAAAGAGAACACATGGCGGAGGAGTAAGCAAGAGAGAGTCTAGGAAGCTGAACTTGCTTTTATAACCAGCTGCTCTTGCTGTAAGTAATCTGGAGAGAGAGAGGGCCTTAACTATTCATGAGAGATCCGCCGCGGTGACCCAGACATCTCCTCCCACTAGGCCCCACCTCCCACCATGGCCACATCAGGGATCAAATTTCAACATGAGTTTTGGAGGGGACAGACTCAAACCTTAGTACCAGTCAAAGGCCAACCTGGTAAGAAGGCCTTTCTAAGGCCAGTAGTCTCAGGCCTGCTCTGTTCTCTTTTCTGCACAAATGTTTTAGAATTCCCATTTTGCCTAATGTAAGCAATTCAAGCCAAATATTTCCCTTCCACCACTCTTTGAACTACATCTCACAAACATTAACATGTTGTGTTTTCATTTTTTTCAGTTAGCTCAAAACATTTTCTAATTTTCCTTGTGATTTCTGTTGTCTTCAGGTTCATACATCTTTTGTCTGCACTGTATCTGCTATTCATTCCTTCCTGTGAAATTTCCATTTCATATATTGTGTTTTTCTGCTCTAGAAGTTTTGTTTCTTTTACATGGTTTTCATTTATTTCTTCATTATGTTCATTTTTTTAATGCTTGAATATGATTGTAATAACTATTTTAATGTAGCTGCTCATTCCATAATTTCTGTCATCTAGTTCTGTTTCTGTTGAATTATTTTTCTTCTGGCTGTGGGTCACATTTTACTGCTTTCTTGCACATCCGGTAGTTTTGTTTGGATGCTGGACATTGCCTAGTGTTTGGGTTTTGTTGCCTTCCTTTAGAGTATTAAAGATATTGCTTTGAGAGGCAGGTAACCTGTTTACCTGTAGATGGGGTTGCTCTTTTTGGGGCTCATTTTCAAGCTTTATTAAGTTGATCCATGAGCCTTCTTTACCCTGATTGGTTGGAACTCCAAGTCTCCCAGCTTTGTATGAGCTCCTGTAGCCCTTCAACTTCCGGTAGTCAGTTTCCTCTGATAGTTGGTTTTTGCCTGGCTTCATTGATTCTCACCCTAGGCATGCACAGCTTATAATTTGGCTACAGGCTCAAGAGGACCCCTGTGCAGATTTCTGGAGCTTTTTCTCTGCCTAGCTCCTTCCTCTCTGGTGCTCTGCCCACAACTTCTAGCAGCCTCAGGCTCCCTGGATCCCAATCTCTGTCTCGTCAGCTCAGTTAGACTGTTGTGCTCCACCTGGATTCTCTCTTCATGCAGTGGTCTCAAATGTGCCTCCAAGGAGATAACTGGACCATCAGAGTTTATCTCATCTGTGTCCCTGTTCTCAGGAATTACTGGCCTGTGCTTCTATATGAAAATAGGTGCTTCTATGTTTATTTTTATTTTTATTTTTTTTCTGATCACTGGTACTATGGCGTGGCAAAAAGTAGACCTTATCAACCAATTTTTTTTGACTCCCAGTCCAATGTTTATGATGATGTAAGTTCACCAGGAAGAGGCCTGAAGGAGGGCATATTAGGAGAAGGGTCTACTTACGGGAAGGTTGTATGTTCAAGGCACACTCAAGCACTTTCAGGGGTGGTGGTCGGGCATGGTGGATCACGCCTGTAATCCTTCCTTTGGGAGGCTGAAGTAGGAGGAGCACTTGAGGCCAGGTGTTCAAGACTAGCCTGGGCGGTGGGAACAAGCAAGACCTTGTCTCAAAAAAAAAAAAAAAAAAGATTAGCCAGGTGTGGTGGCACATGCCTATAGTCTCAGCTACTCCAGAGGCTAAGGCAGGAGGATCACTTGGGCCCAGGAGTTCCAGCCTGCAGTGAGGTATGATCCCACCACTGCAATTGTGGTGTGGGAGCAGAGAGAGCTAGAGTGAACCAGAGGGATAGGCAGGGATGGATTTGCAGAGGACCTTGAATGGCAGTCTAAGAGGTTGCACATTATCCTGGAGAAGCTGTGGCTAATAATTATTATCATAACTATAATGTCAATAACATTAACTGATTTATTTTCATGTACCATGCACTGCCCTAAGCTCTTTTAATGGATTATCTTATTTATTCCTTCAGCTAGCTCATGAGATACTGCAATGTTATTAGGAATTACCCTGTGTTTTTTAAAGCATTTTACATAATTATCTCATTTAATTCTCACAATAACACTATGTGTTAGCAATTAGAATTATGTCTGTTTTATGGATCAGAAAAACTGAGGCATAGAGAAGCTAAATGACTTATAGTCACCCAGAGAATAAGTGGCAATGAGGGCTGATTTTCTCTTCTTCCCAAATACTCTTTTAACATTATTATAATTATATTCTTACAATAAAAAAGAGCTGCCTTTGGGCCACCAGATGTCCATGATGCTCTGTTACCTGTAGACACTGTGAGTGTTAGCGTCTGTGGCCATGGTGCCAGAAGGGCAAGTGGAAACTATGACGGTTTAAAAACAGTTCCCTAGGCCAGGCGTGGTGGCTCACTCATGTAATCCCAGCACTTTGGGAGGCCGAGGTGGGTGAATCACCCGATGTCAGGAGTTGGAGACCAGCCTGGCCAACATGGTGAAACCCCATCTCTATTAAAAATACAAAAATTAGCTGGGCATGGAGGCACATGCCTGTGATCCCAGCTACTCAGGAGGCTGAGGCAGGAGAATCACTTGAACCCAGGAGGCGGAGGTTGCAGTGGACTGAGATCATGCCACTGCACTGCAGCCTGGGCCAAAGCGCAAGACTCCATCTCAAAAACAAACAAACAAACACACACAACAAAAAAAACAAAAACCAGTTCTCCGCATTCTTTGACACTCATCCCATCAAAAGGTGGACTTCAATTCCTCTCCTCTTTGATATAGGTTGGCTGTAGTGACTTGCTTCCCATGAGCAGAATGTGTCAGAAGTGATGGTGAATGATGTGGTTAGTTCTAAGAAGGCAACTCGAGGCCAGGTTTGGTGGCTCACGCCTGTAATCCCAGCACTTTGGGAGGCCTAAGTGAGGGGGAAGATCCCTTGAGCTCAGGAGTTTGAGACTAGCCTAGGCAACATGGCAAGACCCTGTCTCTACAAAAAGTTTAAAAATTAGCCAAGCGTAGTGATGCATGGCTGTAGTCCCAAATACTTGAGAGGTTGAGGTGTGAGGATCACTTGAGCCTGGGAGGTTGAGGCTACAGTGAGCTGTGCTTGCACCACTGCACTCCAGCCTGGGCAACAGAGTGAGACCTTGCCTGTCTCTAAAGACAAGAACAATGCAACTCAGCTGCCACCTGACTCTTCCTCTTTGACATGCACCTTGGGAGCCCTGATCTGTTTTCTGTTCCTATAGTTTTGCCTTTTCTAGAATGTCGCATAAGTGGACTCATCCAGCCTGCAGTCTTTGTGTCTGGCATCTTTTACTTGGCCTATTGCTTTTGAGATTTGCCCCTGTGGCTGTGTGTGTTGGTAGTTGGGTCTTTTTTATTTCTGAATAGTATTGTTAATCCATTCATTTGTGATTTGTATGCCCACCCCAGGGCTGGGCACAGAATGGGTGCTCCCCAAATGGGTGTTGAGTGGCTGAGCAGGGGAATGGGAGGTGAAGGCAGAGACTCCTGTAGAAATCTGTTCAAATCAGTCTTTCATGGGGATTGGAGGAGGCAAGGTGATGACGTTTATCATTCATTAATTCACAAATATTTATTGAGTGCCTACCCATGCCAGATGCCATGCTAGGCCATGATAAATGGTTCCTGATTACCCAGAGCTACCCATTCAGCTGAGAAGACAAATAACTCACCAAGCGGTTGACATCAAGGGAGACGTGTCCTGAAGGAAGGGAAAGCAGGGCAGGGCAAGGGTGTGGTTGGGTAGACAGCAGGGCAGCCACTCTAGGATGGTGTAGGGGGCCAGATTAGGCTTCCCTGGGGAAGTCAAGGCCTGCAGGAGGTGGTGTCTGCTGAACCATGGAGGAGGGCAGTGTGTCCTGGCAAAAAAGGCAGAGGTGTGAAGACCCATGTGTGAGTGTGCAGCAGGTTAGAGGAATGAGTCTGGTGTGACTCTAGGGAGTGGTCAGATTTGGGGCTGAGAGGTGGTCCTAGGACAGATGTGGAGAGCACCTAAGTCACATCGACAAGTGTGGCTTTTGTTCTAGAGGCAGCAGGATCTGTGGAAGGACTCTGAGTTGGAAAGTGATGTAATTAGGGTCTCTGCCTCCAAGTGGAGAAAGGACTGAGTGCACAGGTGTGGGTGGGGGTCCAGCGTGGGATGGCAGTAGCCTGGGAACAGGTGACAGCAGTAGGAACAATAGATTTCAGACCAATTTAGAGGCTGACTTGCCGGGATCTGGTGACTGATTTTAGGTGGGGTGCAGAGAGAAAAGAGACTGAATCCCAATTTGGGACTCAGGCAACAGAATAGATGGCAGTGCCAATCTTCGGAAGAGGAGTGAGGGAGGAGGGGCAGGGAGTGTGGTGATGATGAGTACATGTGGGAACTGTGGAGGCTGAAGTGATTGCAAGATGATCAAATGCAAAGTCTAGCAGGCAGTTGAACATTTTGGCCTGGAGAGGAAATGTGGGCTGAACGTAGGGACTTGGGAGATGTTGGTGTCTAACAGGGAGTGGATGAGCTTGCCTGGAAATGAGTGGAAATGGTGCAGGTCACAGGGCTCGGGCCAGAGACCCGGGGATCCCCAGGATTGAAAGAGCAGGAACAGGGGTACATAGTGGCCTGAGAGAAATGGCACGGAGAAGTAGAGGTGAGGACCGAGAGGAGCACTGGGGAAAGTATTGAAAGGAGAGGCAGCGGACCCCAGGAAGCAGGCAAATCAGATCAACCACAGGACTCAGGTACAGCCAGGCCCTGGTGATCTTGGAGAGTACCCTCTTGGAGGAGTGGCGGAAGGGGAGCCAGTGGGGGAGTGAGTGAAGGCTGGAGCTGCTGAGGAACACGGGGATCAAGCAGAACTTCAGACGAGAGACTTGGGCATGTCTAAGAGCTGACGGGAAGAGCTGGTACAGAGGGGCATTCTGGCCTCAAACCTAGGGCCTTTGGACAACAAACATTTACAGTAGTCCCACCTCATCCCTGGGGCATACGTTCCAAAACCCCAGTGGATGCCTGAAACCATGGATTGTACCAAACCCTATGTACACTATATTTTTTCTTAAACATACACACCTATGATAAAGTTTAATTTAAAACTTAGACATAGTTGCCCAGTCGCAGTGGCTCACGCTTATAATCCTAGCACTTTGGGAGGCCAAGACGGGGAGATCACTTGAAGCCAGGAGTTTGAGACCAGCCTGGGTAACATGGTGAAACCCCGTCTCTACTAAAAATGCAAAAATTAGCCGGGTGTGGTGGTGGGTGCCTGTAGTCCCAGCTACCTGGGAGGCTGAGGCATGAGAATCACTTGAACCTAGGAGGTGGAGGTTGCAGCGAGCCAAGATCTCACCACTGAACTCCAGCTTGGGTGACAGAGCTAGACTCTGTTCAAAAAAAAAAAAAACAAAAAAACAAAGCAAAATAGCACAAAAAATAGTAGGCACAATAAGAGATTAATGATAGTAAGTAATAATAAAATAGATCAATAATAATCATATATGTTTATTAAAGTTATGTGAATGTGATCTCTCTCTCAAAATGCCTTATTGTCCTGTGTCACCCTTCTTGTGATGATGTGAGATGATAAGATGCCTATGTGATGAGATGAGGGGAGGTGAATGATGTAAACCGGTGTGCCCAATCTTTTGGCTTTCCTGGGCCACACTGGAGGAAGAATTGTCCTGGGCCACACACAGAATATACTAACAATAGCTGAGGAGATGACAAAAAATTGCAAAAAAAGTCTCATTTTTCTTTCTTTTTTCTTTTTTTTTTTTTTTGAGATGGAGTTTCACTCTCGTTGCCTAGGCTGGAGTGCAATGGCGCGATCTCAGCTCACCGCAATCTCCGCCTCCCGGGTTCAAGCGATTCTCCTGCCTCAGCCTCCTGAGTAGCTGGCATTACAGGCATGCGCTGCCATGCCCAGCTAATTATGTATTTTTAGTAGAGACGGGGTTTCTCCATATTGGTCAGGCTGGTCTCAAGCTCCCGACCTCAGGTGATCTGCCCGCCTCAGCCTCCCAAAGTGCTGGGATTACAGGTGTGAGCCACCATGCCAGGCCAAAGTCTCATAATGTTTTAAGAAAGTTTATGAAGTTGTGTTGAGCCGCATTAGAAGCATCCTGGGGCACATGCAGCCTGTGGGGCACGGATTGGACAAGCTCAATGTAGGCATTTTGATGTAGCATTAGGTTTCTATCGACCTTGAACAGGAACACTGTAATACCCTGATAGCTGATCTGATAACCAAGAAGGCTACTAAGAGATGAAGGAGTGGGGAGTGTAGACATCTTGTGCTGGATAAAGGGATGATTCATCTTCTGGGCAGGATGAAGTGGGACAGTGCAATATTTCATCTCGATATGCAGAATGGTGTGCAATTAAAAACTTATGAATTGTTTATTTCTGGAATTTTCCCATTTAATATTATGAGACCACGGTTGAACACAAGCTGTGGGTCAGTGGGGACTACTGTGTTATCCCTCACAGTTCTTGGTTGACTGGGTTCAGCTGGCCACTTCTTCTGGTTCGCATGGCGTATGCTGGGGCTGCTGTCATCTAAGGGTTTGACCAGAGCATAAACACAGCCCATTCAGATGGTGGGGGCTGATGCTGGACGCTGGTTGGGGGCTTGGCTGGGGCTGCCTCCATGAGGACTTTCTACCTTGATTAGGCTCCTCACAGCCAAACAGCTGGATTCTAAGAAGAGTGTTTGAAATGCTCCAAAACAAGCTATAGACTGGGACGGGTGGCTCATGCTTATAATCCCAGCGTTTGGGGAGGCCAAGGTGGGAAGATTGCTTGAGCCTGGGGGTTCAAGACCAGCCTGGGTAACATAGTGAGACCCCCGTCTCTACAAATAAATAAAAAATTTTTAAAAAAATTAGCCAGGCATGGTAGTCACGCCTATAGTCCTACCTACCAGGGAGGCTGAGGTGGGAGGTTTACTTGAGCCCAGGAGTTTGAGGCTGCAGTAGCTATGACTGTACTACTGCACTCCAACCTGGGTGACAGAGTGAGACTCTATCTCTAAACAAAACAAAAACAAGCTACACATATCTTAAGATCCAGTCTTGGAAGTGACAGCATCACTGCCACCATATTCTACAGGTCAAAGTGAGTCACAGGCCAGCCCGAAATCAAGAAGTGGAGAAATAGACCTCATCTTTTGGTGAGAAGCGCTGCAAAGCATTTGGGTAATCTTTAATGCAGCACAGGACAGGGTGCACCTACAAGAGAATCACTGACGGATCCACTGAGAAAATGGCAGAGCTAGGGGTCCAGGGCACTGCTGGGATTTGCGTTAGAGAAAAGGGTTTGGAATGGGCTTCCAGAAGGATAGAGTCACGTTGCATTTTATCAAAAGATCTGAACAGGCCAACCAACCACAAAGTTCCTGGTTGTATAAACCTCTTTGTACATTTCCATCTCCTTGTACAGTAGGTAGGTAGAGACAGCCTCTAATAACAATATATTTCATTGAGTGCTAATATATAGCCTTAATCAGTTCTCCCAAGGGGCCTATGAGGTCAATGTTGTGATGCCCATTTTATAGGTAAAGCAACTGAGGCTCAGCAAGTCTCTCTCTCTCTCTCTGAGTTTGTGTGAATGTCTGTGTTGATTGCATGCCCATGCAAAGATATTTGCTCTCTGCATCTGAGCAGCAGGAAGCCATTAGAAGAGGAAACCCATATTGGATGAGAATTTCATTCCACACCCAGGAAAGCAGGGTTAGGATGTGGGGGCACCAGCTCAGGCCCTGGTAGCTGTGCCAGGGACCTAGGACCCTGGCATTGTGAGGTCCCCTCCTCTCAGAGCCAGAGGATGGGGAGAAAGGACGAGATGCTTGGCTGCTGAAACCATGGACTGGTGGTGACCGCCATTCCCACCACCCTAATCATGCACTTGTGATATTAATAAAAATAATTTATGTCATGTGACTGCTTTTTAACTAGCTGCTTTCAAGACTTAAGACCAGGATTATAAAAGGCATGCATTTATAAATTATTAGCCCAGAGCTCATAAGCACATATACTTTGGGGAACACTTTGGTAGCACTTTAAATTAATTTATTGTCATTCATTCCAGCTGTCTGTGATGTAAACCTTCAGCTATAAATTTGTACCATCATCTGACACACCATTAACTAAGGTGCTGCCCGAGCCAGAGCATACAATAAAACACTTAAATACAATTTCTGTAGGGATGGATGTCTCTTCCTTCTCCTTCTCCTTCTTCTCCCTCTCCTTCTCTGTTCTCCTCTCCTCTCCTTTCCTCTCCTGCTAATGACAAGCAACACAGAGAGAAGTCAGGTGCTTGAGAGTTGTGTTGGCAAAAGAATCAGGGAGGACAAGACCCACTCTGTCCCAAGGCCCTCCTCCAAACTCACAGGATTTTATCCCTTGTACAGATGGGGCATCAGAGGTCCAGAGAGGGCATGGCTTTGTCTAAGGCCACACAGCCAGCTGGAACCATGCTCTCCATCCTACTCAATGCCTCCTTGGTAGGTAGACTGAGTCTATGCTCCTGAGAACTTTGGCCTGGGCATGGATGACCCCTGGAACTCTGAGGGAAGCTTTGAGCAGGAAATGAGATTTCTTTGAGGGGAGTTTCTGGCAGAGCAATCAGCAAAGAATTCTGGGGATCGCTGGGCAAAGAGAAGAAAAGGATGGAGGGGATTGATCCCATGATCACCAGCAGAGAGGGGCCCAGGGGGAACAGAGCGGATGCTTTGGAAAGTAGCTCCAAGGAGGACAATTTTGGATCCCACAGGGAGGGATTTGGTAGTAGTGGGAGCTGGCTGAGATTGGAGGGAGTCCCCATCCCTGGAGAAATGCACCTGGGGGGCCGTGGGAGGCATGGAATGGTATGTTCATGTCCTATGCTGCTGTAACAAATGGCCACTGAAGTTGTGACGTGAAGCAACAGGAGTTTATCATCTTACAGTTACGAGGCCAGAACTCCAAAGTGGGTCCCACTGGGTTACAATCAGGGTGTCAGCAGGGCACGATCCTCCTGGAGGCTCTAAGGGAGAGTCCAAGCCTTCGTCTTTCTGGCTTCTGGAGGCTGCCTGTGTTCCTTGACTCATGGCCTTCCCTCCATCCTCAAAGCCAGCAGTGTCAGGCCGGGTACCTCTCATGCTGCCCCTCTCTAGGGCTCTCTTCTGCCTCCCTCTTCCATTTCCTGTCTCCTGTGATTTCCTCAGGCCCACCCAGATAATCCAGGATAATCTCCCCATCCCGAGGTCAGCTGATTAGCAAACTTAACTCCATCTGCAGCCTTAATTTTCCTTTCCATGTACCCTAACATATTCCCAGGCTCCAGGGACCAGGGTGTGAACATCTCTGGTAGGGCTGTTATGCTGCCCACCGCAACGGGGAATAGGGCCCCGAGGTCTCCCTCACACAGACAGATGCTCCTATCTGCAACCAGAGGAGGACATTTTATTTTTTCACTTGAGCAGGATGAAGGAAGAAGAAGGAGGAAAAGGAAAAATGAGAAAAAGAAAGAGATTAGGCAGGGCTTGGGGGAGAAGAGTAGAAGGTGAAGAACAAGGGGCAGGAGAAGTAGTAGAAGAAAGAAGGAAAGAAGGAGGCTGGTTGCGGTGGCTCACACCTGTAATCCCAGCACTTTGGCAGGCCGAGGCAGGAGGATTGCCTGAGGCCAGGAGTTTAAGACCAGCCTGGGCAACATGGCAAGACCCTGTCTCTACAAAAATTAAAAAGAAAAATTACCCTGGTGTAGTGGCGTGTACCTGTCATCCTGCTACTGGGGAGGCTGAGGCAGGAGGATCACTTGAGCCCAGGAGTTGGAGCCTGCAATGAGCTCTATGATTGCACCACTGCACTCACTCCAGCCTGGATGACAGAGCGAGACCCTGTTTCCCCCCACAAAAAGAAAGAAAAAAAAAAAAAAGAGAAGGATGGAAAATTGAATCAGGTCTCACATGAGATGGCTTTAGCCCCTGTACTCTCTGTAAGGTTGAGTTGAGCTAAGCATCAGGAGGCCTGAGTTCAAATCCCAGTCCTGCTGTGTACCTGCCTGGTGACCAGAAGCCAGCCTGCTGCCTGCTGTCTCTGCCTGAAGTGTCTCCATTGAAAAAAAAAAAAAAAAAAAGGTCCCACTGGCCCTCTGGCCCTGGCCTTTGATAGTTCTCCAAATTAAGGGTCTAAAGTAGGCTATGTTGAGGGAGACTGTTGGGGCACCATTTTGGGGCCAGGCCACGATGGTGGGAATGTTCCAGAAGACTGCCTGGCAGGGTAGAGGCAGCAGCTGCCCCAGAGGCCATCTGGCCATTGCTGCTCCTTGAGGGGATGGATGACTGTCAAGCCCAGAAGGTTCCCGGCTTCCGAGGTGGCATTCTGGGAGCTGCAGGTATATGCCCACACCCCAAACAGCAAGGGGCCATGAGTTTGCCCCCTGCACCTGAGCTAGGGACAGACGTCCCCACTGTCCTTCTTGCCCTCCCTCCAGGAAGCCCTAACCATCCTGATCGTCTGGCCCTGGGGGTTTCCTTCTAGCTTGGAAAGAGCCCTGGAAGAAGCTGAGCATTCTCTGCTGACAGTCATGGCCTTTTTCTTTTAAGGGAAGGGTCTTTCTGGAACCTTATCTGTCTACCCTCATTTCTCTCAGGCCCTTAGCTTGGAGAGTAGCAGTGCTCACCTCATAGGGCTGCTGGCAGGTAGCAGGACAAGCCCCCTACACAGCTCTGCCGCACAGTGTCTGGCACATAACAGGAAATCAGTGGGGTGGGGGCAGCCTTCCTATCTGGTGCTCCTGGACATGCCGTGCATGTTCATTCTCAAATACCCCTCCTCTCTGACCCCTGCCAGGGACCTGGTGGAAAGAACTGCAGGTCTGAGCTCGTGGCTTCTCCTTATGTGACTGGGCCTTGGGGTTGACGTTATTGTTTCCTCATGTGTCTTGCTGGCCTGGGAGGGTCCTCAGAGGCCACAAGGGCTGTGATGGCCCCAAGGTAGGATTGTGTCTGCCTGGCCTCTGGAGCTCCTGGTGCCACCTGCACCCCCTACCTGGTAGGTGCTAGGTCAGGTGCTGGAAAGAATGGATGTGTGAAGGAAGTGGTGAGTGAGTGGACTCCCAGCTGGGAGGTTATTTGCTCAGCAGCCATTCATTGCTCAGCTCAGCTTCTGAGGCAGGCAGGGTGGGAGGTGGGGCCTGCCCAGCTTTGCACTCTGTGGCTTACTGTGGGCTCCTGCCCTGCATGTGCTACCGTGGTGGGTGTGTGGACCACAGGCACGAGGGGGAGGTGGGTGAAGGCTGGGGACGGGGGTGTCTGTGGTTTGTGGGCTCCGAGGGTAGCCCCAAATCCTCAGCACCCCCCTCTCGCTGGTACTCGAGTCTCTGCTTATCTCCAGCCAGACCTTGAAGAGCCAAGCACCAGTTCTATTAATCAATTATCTGCTGCCTGGGCTGCGAGTAAGGCTGTTGGGCCAGATAAACCCCAGGGGAGGGGAGGCGACCAAGAGACAGACAGGTGCGTGGGGGGATCCGCCCCCTAATCTGGAGCATGCCCCATGGTCAGCACACTTGTGATGGGTGTGCACTGCCATGCTCACACATGCTGGTGTGTTCATCTCAGGGCACATACGTCACCTCTCCCATGGATACATACACCCTCACACGGTCTCTCCTACAGGCACCCTCACATGCACACAAACCCATAGCCGCATCTGGATCCCCTTGGCGGCACACCTCTACCCACACAGCTCTCCCACCTACACAGTCGCACGTGACCTACATAGACACGCTGTCTCCCAACACCCACCTGTGGGGCCTGCTGCCCACACCTGCCCCATGCATTCACAGTCATGCACACCTTCACACACCTTGCATGTACACGTACACATGTACTTGCCCCTTGCCAGGGCTCATGCTGAGGGCTTCCTTAGTGTTCCCTAGGCAGGTGGTGCCAGTGTGGATGGCCTTAGGAGGATTCTGAGGACAGATGGACCATTATCTGGAGTTCTGGTTGGTTGGTTGGTTGGTTGGTTGGTTGGTTGGTTGGTTGGAGTTCTGGCCAGGGAATTGGTGCACCTGGATTCCAGGTCTAAATTCACTGCCCACGGCGCACCCTGGATAAGTCCCTTTCCAGATTCAGATCTAGGTTTCCTCATCTGTGAGGTGGGAATAATGCCAACTCTAGTGGATGTTTCCGGGATCCAATCTAGAGCTGTCACAGATGGGAACATGCTTTGTGGACACAGAGAGGATCAGTTTGTATTATCCTTGTTCTGCTCACCGCCATCATTATTGTTGACTGCCCAGGTCCTTTGGGGCGCCGGGAAGCCCTGCCCTTGTGCTGGAAAAGCTTGGTTTGATCCTGGTAATCTTGAGCATTTGGCACCCCCACCCCTGCCCCAAATCACTGCAGCCCTGCCAGGGTCCAGCTCCTCACCCAGGCTGCCCTGCAACGAGCCTGTCCAGATGAGCAGCACCCTGGGGTCCCCCGTGCCCCCCAGCCAGGCCCTGCCCACCTCTTTGGGTCACACCTATGTCTGCCTCCACCAAGGGGGCCGTTACTACTCTCGGGGGGCCAGGAGCAGCTCCACGATGAAGTAGGGGTTGCTGGGGTGGGCGGGGACAGCGAGGAGTGCCCATGTGGCCTGGGACTGTGTGGGTGTGCATGACTGTGGGTGCTCGTGTCGAGGGGGGTGTTGGTGGGGATCAGGGAGTATGAGTGTGTGTGTGGTGTGTGTAGCTGTGTGAGCAGGGATGCAGCCTGTGTGGCTGTGTGAATGTGTGGGGTGCGTGAGTGTTGGGGCCATCTGAGAGTGTGAGGCTTGTGTGTGCCAGTGTCCCTTTTGGTATCTGAGAGTGGTAATGTAGTGTGTGTGTGTGTGTGTGTGTGTGTGTGTCTGGGTTATGGTGGTGACTCTGGGGTACTTGGGGATGTCAGTGTGGAGGCTTTGTGTGTGGGTCTATGTGTGTGTGTGTCCATCTTTCTGTGTGTGATGTGTCTGCATGTGTCTGTGTATGTGTTTATACTGTGTGGTGTGTGGCAGGTCTGTCTGTGGAGTGGGAGTGTGTGTTTGTGTGTGTGTGTGTTTGTACTGTGGTGCGTGTGTGAGAGTGTCTGTATACCTATGTTACACACAGTAAAACTATGTGTCTGTATCGCGTGTGGCAGGTCTGTCTCTGTGTTTGTACTGTGTGTGTGTGCATGCTTGCATATGCATCTGTCTACATATGTCTGTACGGTGTATGGCAGGTTTGTCTGTCAGGTGGGAGTGTGGGTGTCTGGACGGGAGGCTGTGGTGCGGGTGTGGGGTGTGGGTTTCTCTGTCGGGCGTGTGAGTGTGAGTGCAGCGTGTGTTGTGTGTGTGAGGGGGTGGTGTGGTGAGGCGGCAGAGAGGCTGGCAGGCAGGCGGTCAAGGTGCTCCCCCCGCACTTCCCTGTGTGCAGTGGCTGGGCTGACAGCCGGGCGGAGAAGAAAACTAGACGTCAGGGAAATCAGTCAGAGACAAATCGATTCCCTTTAGAGGTGAGAAAAAGCAGATGCCACGGCTGCTGGTGGCCTGTTAGGCTCTGAGCCACATCCCTCGCAGCCCTCCCCCACTCCTGTGCCGCCAACACCGCCCCCCCAACCCTGTGCCTTTGTGCTGGGCCTGCTGCCTGGCAGCCGCACCAGCCCTTCCTGCAGCAGGACCCCGCCTGCACAGAGCCCACGCTGGGCATGTGTGTGTCAGTGTGTGCCTGTGGGTGTGTGCATGCCTGTTTGTGACTGGGGGAGTACAGACGTCATTGTGGGCCTCAGCTGACGGCCCCACCTTGCAGACTTCAGAGACTTCAGTTGGTCCCCCACTTGCTAAGGACAACGAGGGAGCTGGACCAGGGATGGGTGTAAGAGGAGCTGTCCTTGGGCATCACTGGTACCCCAGCCTTCTCCCTGCATGAACATCAGGCCTCAGCAGCATCGCTCCTTCCTGTAGCCTAGTGAGGAAAGCCTATTCCCAGATCCAGCTCTCTGCCGAGCTGGCCCAGATCAGCTGCTGGAGCCTCAGACTCTAGTAGGGGGCAAAGACCAGCCTTGTGGCCTCATCCCTACAGTGGAGCATGGGGCGTCTCTGGACCTGGGAGCCTGACCCAGCTGCCGGCAGAGCTGCTCCTGCAGGATGGGGCCCTGACCCCTTCCTGGGCCTTGCTGACACCTCTGCTGTCAGGTCACTCCCCTTCTCCAGGTCCCCTCCCCCACCACTCCCTTTCCCACTTGGTGGCAACAGCCAAAATCTATCAGGAAACAAGGGCTAAGCCTGCTGTTGCACAGAAGCTCTGTTTTCAGAGTTATCCCAGGCCCTCCTAGCCTGTATCTGTTGTCACTCACTCCGCATAGTTACTGAGCACTTGTTCTGGGCCAGGCTCTGAATTCAGCAGTGAGCCCCCCAGGCCTGCCTTCAGGGAGCCTCGCATCTAGCTGGGGAGATACATCATGCTTCCAGCTGGGACTGAGAAGTACAGGGTGGGAAGAGAGGGTATAAAGGGTCCCCACACCAGACCTGGCCTCATCCTTGCCCAGACTGCTGGGCTCCAACCTCTTCTTCTGCAGGCTCCCAGCGCTCACTCAGGCTGCTGCTTCTATAGGCAGGGCCTCCCCACCTTTCTGCTTGCCCACCTAGCTCCTGCCCAGGGGGCTCTCTTGGAGCTCTGAGCGCGGCTGCCACCTCTTCTCCACACTCTACCCTGTCTGGGACGGGAGGCTCTGCAAGGCCAGTGGCCCCATCTTTCTTCCTTTGCAGGCCAGCCAGGCTTTTTCTGGCATGGATGCCCCACTGTTTGAGTGTGAAGTGTTTGAAGCTGGAGCTGCTCAGTTATCAGACAGTAGAAGAGGTGGCTATTTCAGGGGCTTGGATTCTGTGATGTCCATACCCCACGAATGCCCCTCTCTGACCCCCCCCCCCTCTGTCTACCCTTGAGACCCTGCTCTCAGCTACCTACTGTCAGGCATACTTGACATATCTCAGCTCACTCTGGAATCAGGAACTTGCATTGACAGACCTGTATTTCCATCCCTGGCTCTCCTACTGCTGGCTGTGTGTCCTGAGACAGGCACTATACCTCTCTGGGCCTTGTTTCCTCTCTGGCTAAAGGGATGAAGATTCAGGCCCTGCTCTCCACTGAAGAACTCAGGACAGGTGGTGGGTACAAGAGAGCTGCTGGGAGTAACAGACGTTTTGGTGACTGGTGTTCATGGGGAAGACTCCTGGAACCCTTTCCAACCCCCACCCCTGGCCTGGATTCCCTGTGTCTAGCCAGATGGGAGAGGCCAAGGATCGATCTACAAACATTGATTGAACCAATTCTGGACCAAACCCTGTTGTGGAGACAGCACTTGGCACAGAGCCCATGGGATGTGTTGAAAGAAATGACTTCTGAGAAGAGGAGTGGACGGTTGTGTGGATGTGGGGTTGCTGGATGGCCCCTCCCCCCAGGGAGCTTACACTCTCACTGGGACCGGTTGGACAGGACAGGAGAGTGGGCTCTGGTTCCAGTTCTGCTTCTGACCTGCTCCTGGCCTTGCTGTTCATCCCTCAGTAAAACTGAGAGCTTAAGCTCTGTGACCTTGGAGACCATTTCCTGCTGTGATATTAATACCACCGCTAATAATGACAGTAGCAGTCGAGGGAGGAGCAAGCATGCTAATATTAGCCACACCTGTTGAGGGCCCGGCACACGCCAGGCCCTTACATATGTGATGATGTCAGTCCTCGTGATGAGCTGCACTCAGCATCTCCACGTTGACTGCGAGGGACCGCTGGATCCCAGAGCCAGGACAGAACTCAAGGCTATTTTGGTTGGGAAGAAAAGAGGTGTTCAGCTGACCTCAAGTACGGGAGGGTTGAGTGAAACGAGCATCATTGTGGGAACCTGGGTGAATCAAAGCAGTGGGTTGCAGACAGAGCTGGGACTGCAGTGTGGAGCTCCAGGGAGCCAGAGGCACCCTGTGCATCTGCCACAAGTCCCTGAAGCTGCAGTCCTGGCATCATCCCCAGGTACCTCCGTCTCCGCTGCTTCTCTGCTTCTTCCTGTTGCACGCCGTCTCCTGCATTCATTTCTTCCTGTGTATCTGGCCTGGACCTCAGCCCCTGCTCCTTATAGACGTGGCTGCTCTGCGGCCCTAACTCCTCCCTGGCTTCCCTCCAGGCCTCCTTACAGGCCCTCTCCCTCGGCTGCCTGCCCAGTTCACCGTGCATAGCCCTGTTGCTCCCCTCAATCCCTGCCGATTCCCACACCACCGTTTGCCTCTGGATTGGTTGCCCACTAGTCAGGTCCCGCCCTTCATCCAATCAGCTGTGGTGGGCGGGACACTTCCTCCAGCCGTCCTCAAGCCTGGCCTCAGGACCCTGTCACATTCTGAAAAGTTGTTGACGACCCGAAAGAGCTTTGGTTTAGGCAAAATATTGTTAAATATCTCTGGATATTTACCACATTAAAAATTAAAACTGAGAAATTACAAAATATTTTTTAATTCTTTAAGAACAACAAGAATAAACACTACACATGAACGTATATTTTTCATAAAAAATAACTATTTTCCTAAAACAAAGAAAGTTGAGCAGAAGAGTGACATTCCTTTAGGTTTTTGTGAATCTCTCTGGTGATTCACTTCAGAGGAGGCAACTGGGTTCTCCTGTGTGCTTCTTTCTGCATTCGACTTCTTGAGAGCCGCGTGGTCTTGAATCCTCTAGAAAAATGCCACAGTATGCTTGCATCAGACAGCGTAAAAGGCAAATACTGCCTTCTAGCTTTGCAGGCTCTCGAAGAAAAGCAGTGACTCAGGTGGTGCCTGAAGCCCTGCAGGGCCTCTTGGGTGTGCGGTGATCTTCCTTACCCTGAGGAAGGCCAGAGGAACCCAGCAAACAGCCTAGCCTAGGCAGGGCACCGGGTTCCCAGAGCTCAGCCGTCCAGTGGTGGAACTTTGAGCTGGACTGGGGGCAGCCGGGGCTAAGAACAACTTCCTGGGGGACGCAGTAGGTAAATGAAGCCATGAAAAATGAGCATTTAGGGGAGGCAGAAGGGAAAGGAGAAGTTTTCCAGGCAGTAGAAAATGATTGGGCACATCTTCAAAGTGGGAAAGTGAGGCATCGAGCCAAGGCTGGCTGAGACCTTGACGCCCCAAGTACTGACAGGATCATGGTGGTGTCCAGTCCCACCCTGCGTAGCTCAACATCAAGTTTATTTTCCATAGTGACGCTAAGCTTCCTTGCAAGTTGAAGTTAAAATAGCCTCTTTCTAGGTTCTGGATTGCAATCTTGTGGGTAAATGCACAGATGCTGGACCGATCTCATTTTTTTGATGCCATGCTGCATTAGCACCCAAGGGATGGGCTCCCTCTGCCTCTCAGGTCATGTATGGGCACTAAGGGTGAATGATGAGTAGGGTGGGTGGGGATGGGGGCCCTGAAAAGAACCTGGCAGCACCCCTAGAGCACCTGTGATTCAGGGCACCCCGTGCCAAGGGAGCAGCCTGGCCCGGAGCTGCCCTCTCAGCGGGGAGGAAGTAGAAGCCTCAGCCCAGCCTGGAACCTCCAAATCTGGGCGGGGAGTGTGAACCACCTTCCCTGCAGCCTCCAGTCTTTCCGCTTCCTTGTGGGGTGTGGACTTTGGAGGCTGATGGAAGGGTGCTGAGGAGGGGATGACCTTCACCCAAACAGAGAACTAGAGGACATGGGCTTGGTCAAGAGTGGAGGTCTCAGGGTTACGTGATGGTCTGTGGAACCACTGACAGTGTAAACTCCAGCCCTGCCTCTTATCTGTGCCTCAGTTTTTTGCTTGTTTGTTTGTTTTTGAGACAGAGTCTTTCTCTGTTGCCCAGGCTGGAGTGCAGTAGTGCAATCTCAACTCACTGTAACCTCCACCTCCCAGGTTCAAGTGATTCTCCCGCCTTGGCCCTCCGAGTAGCTGGGATTACAGGCATGCCCCACCATGCCTGGATAATTTTTGTATTTTTAGTAAAGATGGGGTTTCACTATGTTGGCCAGGCTGGTCTTGAACTCCTGACCTCAAGTGATCTGCCCACCTCGGCCTCCCAAAGTGCTGGGATTATAGGCGTGAGCCACCGCACCCTGCCGATGCCTCAGTTTTCTTATCTGTAAAGCAAGGATGATGGCACCCAACTCCTGTGGGTGACTGTAGTAAAGGCTAAATGAGATCATAGGAATCAGGCATTTCGTGCAAAGCATGGGGCCAGCTCCACGAGGCATGAGCTTTGTTTCATCTCTCCTGTGCAGTGCTATAGATCAGGTCCTGGTTCATAGGAATTGCTCAATCAAATATTTTGGAGAGAAAAGTTAATAAATAAACATATCAGTGGCTCAGGTAATGTCAGTTCCTTCTCTAGGCAAGACCTAATCCATCTACCTTGTTTTACAGATGGGAAGATAAGACCCAGAAAACAGAAAGGACATGTTTAAGGCCATGCAGCAAGTTAGTGCCTGACCTGAATATTGAAGTGAGGCCCTACTACCATCAGCCATGGGAACCATGGCTGGATGGGTCCCAAGCAATGAAGACCTTCTGGGTGTCTAGGGGAGAGGTTTGGGCCCTCCTCCATGTGCGTGTGTGTGTGCGCGTGCAAGTGTGTGTGTCTGGGAAGCCAGAAGATTACACTCTTCTTTCTAGGCCTTCTAGCCCTTGCTGGAAGGCCTGTAGTGAGTGGATGGCCTGCCTTACCCTCTGCACATCCCGCCCTGTTTATTGAGATTTCCATCCAGCCTGAACTCCTGTGGGGAGGTGTTATCTTCTGGACCAGAGCCCTATCTGCCATGAAGCCATTGTGGTGTCACAGGGGCTTCTGAGAGATCCCAGGCTGGAGACGGAAAGCAGAAGATTTGAAGTGGTGGGAGGCAGGGGCTGGTGTCATAACACACTTTCCACCCCTGGGCTGGGAGGGGCACTCCCTCCTGCTGAACTCTCCCAGGCCAGTGACCTCATCTTGCTCCTGTGCTTGTTTTCCAAAGGGTGTTGTAAGTTGACTGTCTGCTTTCTTCCACAACACTCAAAGTGTGGCCTGTGGAGCAACAGCTTCAGCCACAGCTGGGAGCTGGTTAGAAGTGCAACATCTCAGGCCCCACCCTAGAACATTAACATCTCTGGAGGTAGGACCCAGGAATCTGTTTCACAAGTCCTCTTCTGATGCTTAGAAAAGTTTAAACATCACTGCTTTACTCTATTTCTCGACAAAAAGATGACATTCAGTTTGGCTAGAATTAAAAGGGGTGGGTGTTTCCTGGCAGGTTTTAGAAACCTATTTAAATGGTTCCATTGTCCATTCATCCATCCATCAACCCATCCAACCATCCAGCCAGCCATCCACCCTCTTTTCATTCAACAGACATTCAGCTGCACTCGGGAGTTGAAAGGGGAAGGCTCGGGACCCTGGGCTCCTCCAGCTTGCCGTGAGACACCACTGTGTGGCAGAAGAGGTGGCCTCTGTCCCCTTTATCCTCCAAGTGTACCTGTGGTCTTCAGGCCGGTCACTTGCTTGAATCTGAGTGTGTGTCTCTGATCTATAATCCTAAAAAAGCTACCTAATGCAGGTGTCCAAGAGGGAAAGGGGAAGGAATTGCATGCACTTGGTGTCTATTGTGTGCCAGGTGTGTTCACACGTGTTATGACCTTCCACTCTTCCAGCTGCCCTTCATACTGGATAGCATTATTCTTATTTTACAGAGAAGAATATTGAGGATCAAAGAGACCAAGACTGCAAGCGTAAAAACTAAGATTGGAACCAAAGCCAGTTCTTCTTGATCCCAGGGTCTGCGCCCTTCTTCTGTTCCATGTTTCATTGTTCTTGGTGGACCTGGGGATCAATAGCTAGAAGTTAAAGGACAAACTGATTTGGGAAGTGCTTCCAGTGCTGTCTTGAGTGATGTCTAGAGATTAGCAGACTGGCTGTGAAGTGGTGAGCTGCCCATCACTGGAACCGTGCAAGCAGAGACTGGTCATGGTGATCACGGTGTTGGTCCTGTGTGAGTGTGATGTGGGGAAGAATTGAGACCAGATGACCTTTGAGGGCCTTCTGCTGTCTGAGGCGGGCCTGCTTGGGCCTGCTCCCAGGTCAGTGCCCCATGGATGGAGCCTCTGAAGCCAGCTGCTCATTATCTGTGGATCCTCTGCGGGGACACTGCCAGCTCCCAAACAGGAAACATGTCCAGAAATCTGTAATTAGAGCTGGGAGCCACAGGCCTGAGAGGTGCCTGCTGCAGCTTCAAGTGCAGACACGCCACCCTGGTTAAGTCCCTGGGAGAGAACCCAGTGAGTCAGGCCCTCAGATCTTCTCCCTGCCTGTGGCACCCCCGCCCCACCCCATTCCCCTTGGAAGGAAACCTGCTTTGGCCAGGAACCTACTGGGTGAATGGGTTTCATATACATTCTCTCCTCTGTTCTTCCCCAGAACCGTGGGAGAGAGGAAACATCTGCCATGATGCAGGCAAGGAATGCAAAGCTCCCAGACATCATGTGGCTCACTCAAGGTCACCCTACTATGGCCCTTGCCTTTCTGAGTGCCTGGTTTGACCTCTTGATCCCTCCAGGGGAGAACGTCACAGTCAAAGGAGGGGTGCAAGAGGCCAGTGGCACACAGAGAGGTCTGTGTGGGCCTGAGTGGCTCCTGGGTCTTCCCTGACTGACCATAACGCCTTTCAGCCTTTCTGAATCTGCCATGAAGGGACGGGTCCTTGCAGTGTTCCTCTGCCAGGCTGCCTGGCAACCCATGGCAATTGTGGTGGTGTTAAAACATGGCCACAGGCCAGGCACGGTGGCTCATGCCTGTAATTCCAGCACTTTGCATAGGGTATGGCAGAAGAGACCCTAAGTGAGTAAAGACCATGCCCCTGCAAATTATACTTTGTTTGCTGGAACACTCACTCTTGGAGCCCTGAGCCACCATGTAAAGAAGTAGGAAGATTCACTGTCCTGAAGCTGCCATGTTGTGAGGAAGCCCAAGCCACATGGAGGGGCCATGTCTAGGTGCTCCAGTCAACAGTCCCAGCTGAGCTTAGCCATCTAACATCCCCAGCTATTTTAGTTTTTCCTGAAATCCCAGAAATCATGGAATAGAGACAAATCTCTCCTGCTGTGCTCTGTCTGAACTGCTGACCCACAGAATCTGGGCACATAATAAAATTATTTTGTGCCATTAGGTATATAGTTGATTTGTTATGCAGCCATAGATAACCAGGACAGCTATGCCAGCTATGAAGTGCCATGCAGTCATCTCGGGGGTCCCACTCACAACATCTCCCCATACTCCTAGGAAGCTGGCTGGGCTCAACTCTAAGTGCAAAGCATTGTGCAAAGGGAAGGGCATGAAACTGGGGGGCCCTGCATCTCCTGGGGGTTAGAGTACTGAACTTCCTCCACCCACTGCCTTCTCAGAGATGAGCACCCTACATCTGGATCTGCCTCAGGCCCTCTTGTATATGACTAAGAATATTGGCTTGGTGTGGTGGCTCATGCCTGTAATCCCGGTACTTTGGGAGACTGAGGCGGGAGGATCCTTGAGCCCAGGAGTTTGAGACCAGCCTGGGCAACACAACAAGACCCTATCTCTACAAAAAATAGAAAAAAATTGGGCGGGCGCAGTGGCTCACGCCTGTAATCCCAGCACTTTGGGAGGCCAAGGTGGGCAGATCACCTGAGGTCGGGAGCTTAAGACCCCATCTCTACTAAAAATAAAAAATTAGCCCGGTGTGGTGGTGCATGCCTATAATCCCAGGTACTTGGGTGGCCGAGGCAGGAGAATCGCTTGAACCCGGGAGGCAGAGGTTGCAGTGAGCCGAGATGGTGCCATTGTACTCCAGCCTGGGCAACAAGAACAAAACTCCATCTCAAAAAACAAAAAACAAAACAAAACAAAACAAAAGCAAAAGAAAAAGATTAGCCCCGCCACCTCTTCAGAGCTGTGAGCTCTTGGGCAAGTTACTGAACTCAATTTCCTTGTCTGTAAGATGGGGATGAAAAATACCTACTCTGAGGGTTATTGTTAAGAAGTGCCCAGCACACAGTCAGTGCTGTGATCAGTGTAGCCCATTACTATTGCCCCAAAGTCACCTTCTTTCTGGACCCTGGTACCATCTCCATGTGCACAGGACTTTATAGTAAGTATTCCCTAGTCCTCCCAGTAATCCTGCGGGGCAGGTCAGCATCATCCCCACTGCAGCTCCAGGGGACATGGCCCCATGGCCAAGGTCTCAGATATGGACCCTGAGCTTGGGGCTATTTCTGCTGTTGTTGAGCCTCTTCTGGGATTTTTCTCCACATTCTCTGCTGGGACTCCTGGCTGACTTGCCCAGTCTCCTCCTTCCTTCTGGTCTCTCCTGCCTCTGGACTTCTGGAATCTTAGCCCACGTGACTTTGGATAAGTCCATTTCCTTGTCAGGGTCTCAGTTTCTCCATCTTTAGGATGCGGAAGTTGGGTTGGCTTCTGTCTCAGGGCCTTTCAGCTCTAAGAGAATCAGGTCAGTTTTCATATCTTTTATATCCCAGGGTGGCTTGCCCACAGGACTGCCTGCTGCTCCTCTCCAAGCTGAGCCTGCCGTGGCTGTGAACAATCCAAGAGGGTCCCACATCCCTGAGTTTGGGGCAGCAGGGCCAACCCCTGAGAAGAGAGAAGGGCCACCAACCTCTCTTCCAGGAGCTGAGGTGCTGGGGTATTTGCATCCAGCTTGGCCACACTCTCAGTTTTGCCTGACAGTGTGGCCAGGTGATGGGCCCACCCAACCAGGCCTGTCCTCTGGGCTTCTGCCCAGCTGTGGTCCTAGAGGCAGCTCTAGGCGGCAATGGGCTCTTCGGCTTCCTGACTTCTGGTGGTCCAGCCACTGCTGCTTCTCCTTCTGCTGGATCTTTCCTGGCCGACTTCACTGGCCCTTCAGGCTGATCTGAGACCTTACTTCCTCCAGGCAGCCTTCCCTGTTGTGCGATATCAGGCTCTTCCTTGGTCTTCAGAGAGTGCAGAGAGGATCCTGGTTGTGTTGCAGTCTGTAACTGCCTGTTTACTTACAGCTTCCCCCTCTAAGACCTTAAGCTCCAGCAGGGCAGGGCCCATATCTGTGTTGCTTGCGTCTGCTTCTCCAAAACCCCATACGGTGCTGGTGCTCAGCAAACACAGGTTGACCAAATTAACTTTTGATAAAGAAACAACTAACTAGAGCAATAATGCTCCTTACTGAAACTATTCCAGCCTCATCTGACTGTGACTTAAGCCAGGCCAGGAGAAGATGACTTCAATAGCATGTTATTTTGGTCCTTATAGGACTACTTTTACGAAAATGTCTGTTGGTATGGTATTAATATTGCTCCCCCAAAACATCTCCATGAGACCTGTCTTTGTGTCTCTTAGAATTTTATAATGAGGACTGTTGGAAAAATGTTGTAAAGCAGACAAGAAACAGCTATGACTTTCCCAGCATCAGGCTTTATGGGTTGATTTACTAATTTTATATCATGGACATTGTGTGATTGATCAGATTTCCTCTTTTGCACTTGCTTCCAGGGAGTTGAAGTCTAAAACTTTGACCCTTTGAAACAACATTTACAGCTTTATGGTATTCATTTTTGATTTAGCCAGATCTCTGGCCCTTTCTCTATTTTGCTTCTTATACTCCTATCCATTTCTAATTTAGGTTTTATTGTGGTACTTTACATATCTTTATATATCTCCTATTTATAGATTTACATATGCTTTAAGTCACTTTTGGGGGGAACAAGGAAAGTTATGCAAAGTACTTCAGAGCACGCTATTCCTGGGCTGACCCAGGATTCAGCCTATAAGCTAAAGAGTGCTGGTACTAGGTCTCCTTTGGGACACAGGGGTCTTCCCCTGTCTAGGTTGTGGCCATACAGACCCCCGGCAGCCTGGTCCACATGCTGCAGGCTGTGTGCTGCCAGGCTGTGCACTGGGTTGTTATCCCCTGACTTGAATGGGTCTGGTTCCCAGGCTTCCTCCTGAGCTGCTGGACTCACCACCCTGCTGCTGGCATCTTGTCCAGCCTTGCCTCTGTGCTTCCTGACCTCCTGCCTTCTCTCCCTTCTGTGTGGATGCTCAATGCTGCCCTTGAGAAACTGGCTTAGCTCCCTTCTCAGCTAAGACTTGACCTTGTCCCTTGAATGTGGGCTGATTCCAGTTGCTATGGGCAACCACACTTGGCCATCCAGGCTGGCCCACTGGTCTTTTGCTGGCTCAGGCCAGGGTAGCTGACCTCCAGGCCTTGAGGACGGGCCTGGGACAGCCTGAGTCAGAAACAGGAGCTGAGAGTTAGTACTAAAGCAGATACGATGCTCAGCTTCATCATTTTATCTCTGGAGATAGACATTTACCCCAAGATCCAGGGACAGTGAGTAATAGGAGTCCCATTTGACAAATGGTGAAACAGAGGTTCAGAGAGATGTGTTCCGCCCAAGGTCACACAAGAAGTCAAAGGACAAGAGGGCTTTTTCCTTTCAATCTGATGCTGGGCCCCTTCTATCACCACTTTCCATCCCAGAGCTAGGGGCTGGACTCTCCAGCAAAGATTGGGTGGGGGGGTTTCCAGTCACCTCCTAGCAAGGTGGGTCCTCTGAGGGCCACAGTCTTTTGAGAAGCCCCAGCCCAGCCAGAGTCACCAGTTGCCTAGAAGGGATATGGGCTTCCTCCCTTTCCTCTGTAAAGCATGGTTTGAGAAGGAGATTCAGCCCACATGCTCTGATTATCTGCCTCTTGGATGTAGAAATTGGGAAAGGGAAAGTCAGAAGAGGTGACTGTGGGGTGGAGGCAGTAAGGCTTGGGGAGCCTTGGAGAGGCTTCTTTTTGGTCTGCCAGGATTCAGAGCTGAGCTCTGTGCTCCAGTGAGGCTGCCACATGTTTTTCCTAGAGCTGTGCCCTCCTTCCTTCCTACAGGCCACGGTGTTCAGAGCCAGTGCCTTTGGAGGTGGTGGTAGCAGGGGACTTGCAAGACCCTCTCCCCCAGTTTGGGCATCAAGACAGGTGGTATCAATCCTTTTCTCTCTGAGTGACCTCGCACATGTCCCTTGACTCTGGGGGCCTGCGTTTTTGTCATCTGTTAAATGGGGGCCTGAGTCCTTGCCTGCCTTTCTCTTACTGCTGTTGTGATAACCAAAGTCTTTGTGTTCTGAAATGTTTTTCCATCTCTCATCTGAAATGCCGTGCAGAAACAATTTCCTAGGGGAACTCTGTGTACTTCCTCGCTGCTGACTCTCGACTCTCCTTGCTGAAAGCAACAAAACCCCTCCAAAAACAAAAGACATCAGTGCATCAGAATTCACGGAGCGGGTGGTGCTGTTTGAATTGGAAATCACTGAGGTGGTTTGGTTTCTCTTCGGTATCAGAGCTTCAGTCATGCAATGAGAATTGGTTAAGGTTTTGTGCAGTTCCACAAATATTTATCAAGTGCCTGCTCCTTGTTCAGCCTCGTGCTCAGTGTTGGAGCTGGAGAGGTGAGAAATCATAATGTGTGTGCCCGAGGGCACTGACCTCCGAGGCAGCCAGACCTGGCTCTGAGTCCCCGCTCTGGTCCTCACCACCCCGTGACCCTGGGCAAGACAGCTCCCTCCCTGAGTTTCAATTGTGACATGTGTGATGTGAGGCTAATGATGGCACCTTCCTCACATGTTGCTGTGAGAATTAAATAAGAAAATGCAAAGCTATTTTGTTAACAGTGACGGAAATACCAAATGTGGGTTTTGTTTTAGGAGCAAGTAGAAGACATGGGCCCTGCTCCATGGCAGTCACGGTTCAGTAACTGATTAGTTATGATACTGGGAGATTCGGGCTGGCGGGAAGCATATATAAGATGCTGAAAGAGCATAGGGAGGCCAGGAGGCTTCTTGGAGCTAGTGATGACTTCTCAGCATGTAGTGATGGGATCTGCCCAGGACTACCAAAGGAAGGCACATGTGAAATTTGGTTAGAGAAGCCCTTCTATATTTCTGGGGAGACAAATCTTGTATACATGATCTCTCTTACTCAGATGCTGCCCTCAAATTCTCCTGATGTCATTTTCAGGAAAGTTACAACCACATCTGTATCTTTGGGCAGAGTTTAGGGAGGAACAGGGCTGTAGTGGCTGAGGGTCAATTCTTTGAAGGCTTCATGATGGAGATGGCATTGGATGCATGGTGGGGAGGGAATTCCAGGCAGGAGGAAGGCAAGGGGAGGGAAGGTTCCTGGTGTGCATGCACTGGGCAGAGTCAGAAGGTCAGTCCCTCTAGCTATCTGATCCCCCAACCCGGAAGTCTCTAACACCTGCCAGGCCAGAGTGTATGGAGCCTCTGCTGGCTGAGGAGCTTGGATTGGAGTGCCTTGGGGCCTGGCCGGCAGCATGAGCTGAGAAGTCAGAAGTGAGCAGGTAGGAGGGGTGCGCTGTTCTTTGGTAACATGGGCATGGCTGGGTCAGGTGAGGCCTGGGAAAGGCAGGAGATGCAAAAGGCGGCTGGGGCAATAGTGCAGGTAAGTGGGACTAAGAATGGTTTTTTTGTTTTTTGTTTTTTGATGGAGTTTCGCTCTTATTACTCAAGCTTGAGTGCAATGGTGCGATCTTGGCTCACCACAATCTCTGCCTCCCAGGTTCAAGCAATTCTCCTGCCTCAGCCTTCCGAATAGCTGAGATTACAGGCGCGCGCCACCACGCCCAGCTAATTTTTTGTATGTTTAGTAGAAATGGGGTTTCACCATGTTAGCCAGGCTGGTCTTGAACTCCTGACCTCAGGTGATCTGCCCGCCTCAGCCTCCCAAAGTGCTGGGATTACAGGCGTGAGCCACCGTGCCTGCCTGGCCAAGAATGGGTCTTTAGATTCTGCTAGGATGGATGGAGCACCTGTCCAGTCTGGGTCCTAAAACCCTCACACCCTATGTTCCCTATGTGTGGTAGATTTTCTCCATTTCCCTCTCATATTCATTCTTCACCCTTCTCCACCCCGTTGTGTGCCCAGGGAGGGTGACCGTTATGGACTGAAGCAAACAATTCACTTGTTCACTGGGCTGTGGCTGTGGCTGAGTTCAGTCAGTGAAATTCTTTGCAGTTACTATTTCTGCATAACTATATCATAGCCTAAAACAACCACCATTTTGTTGTGCTATGGATTCTAAGGGTCACGAATTCAGAAAGGGCACAGCAGGGATGGCTTGTCTCCATTTCACAGTGTCTGGGACCTCAGTCTGGAAGACTGAGGCTGGGGGATGGGATCATCTGAAAGCTCTGTCAGTCACATGTGACAATTGATGCTGACTGTCAGCTGGAACCTCAGCTGTGACAGTCTCCTGGATCACCTATATGTAGCCTCTCCCAGTGGCTGCCTGGGCTTCCTCACACATGGTGGCTGCCTTCCAAGAATGAGCATCCCAAAGAGAACCAGGTGGAAGCTGCATCACATTTTGACCCAACCTCAGAAGTTGCATAGTGTCACTTCTGCTGTCATCACAACTATGCCCAGATTCAAGAAGTGTTAAAGTCCTATTGGAAGAAGAGTGTATGGGATGAGAGATATTGAAGCAGCCATTTGGAAAATGTGATCGGCCATAGGATAAATAGGCTGGAAATCAGATTCATTCATTTACTTACTCACTGGTTCAATCCACAAACCACATGGGATAGCAAGGACTGTGGTTCCCTACCAAATGCCACAGCCCCTGCCGGTTTGTTGTCTCCTTCATGTCAGTGCTGGCCCCACAGGGCTTTTAAGAACTGTTCCTTCCCCTTCTGTTTTTAGCCCCAGGGTAGTAGGGGCTCCCAATGTTGTGAACCGTGGGGTGCTTCACCAGCCCTTTCTGGAGTCTTTAACCCTGCTCCTACCTTTTAAAAAGTCCCTTCATTAGTTACTCCTCTGGAGTGACTTTTCTCTTCCAGGACTATCAGGATACACCATACGACACAGAAGGAGCCTGGGCTCCGAGTGCCTGAGGTCCCACAATAAATGCCCAGAAGAGGCAGAATTTAAAGGCTGCTGCCCTGGCTCTGCATCCTGTGCCCTTTTTCAGGGATCTGCTAGTGATGTGTAAGAAGGAAGAAGTTGTCAGCCCAGCTGAGCCCTGCCAAGTCCTGGAGCTAGTTCTTCTGGAGCCCTCCAGCACCCCCTCTTTGCATGCTGGACTCGATTGCTAACCAGGCGTGACCTTGTGTGTGGTATCTGCAGCCTGGGGCCCACCAGGCTCCTAGCACTTCCTGGGTCCACTAACCCAGGGATGGATGGCAGCGTGGGGTGAGTGACAGGCTCTCCCACATGTTCACATGTACCTGGGTCACTAAGTTTAAGAACACCATTGTTTCGCAGCTGGGCACTTAGGCTGGAGAGGTGAAGGGACTAGCCATGGCCACACAGCACATGAGTTGAGCATTTCCAGTCTGACATCCACTCTGCACATACCAATCTAGCCTCTTAGAGATTTTAAAGGGCTTTCATTTCTCACTTAATGAAGAGTAAGAGTGATGATGGTGATGGTGATGATGATGATGAGGACGGCAACAGTCTACTGAGCATTTACCATGTGCCAGGCACTTGGCATACATCATCTCATTTAATCCTCCTTCTTAAGAGTGCACGAAATTTCAGGAGGCCCTCCCTCTCAGAGCTGTGCAAGTGCAGAGGGGTTGTGGGGGTGAGCCCCTCATTAATGTTTGAACCAGGGGGGCATCGCATGCTCATCCTCGTCCTGGCCCTACTCACAACAATCCTGTGATGTAGGTGGTGTCTTGAGTGACAGCATCAAACCTCAGAGGTGAAGTGACTTGTTCTGGGGCACGTAATTGGTAAGAGGCAGAGCGGGTTTTTTTTGTTTTGTTTTGTTTTGTTTTAGAGAAGTCTCGCTCTTGTCCCCCAGGCTGGAATGCAGTGGTGCGATCTTGGCTTACTGCAACCTCCGCCTCCTGGGTTCAAACGATTCTCCTGCCTCAGCCTCCCAAGTAGCTGGGATTACAGGCGCCTGCCAACACCCCTGGCTAATTTTTGTATTTTTAGTAGAGACGAGGTTTCACCATGTTGGCCAAGCTGGTCTCGAACTCCTGACTTCAGGTGATCCACCTACCTTGGCCTCCCAAAGTGTTGGGATTACAGGCATGAGCCACCGCACCGTGCCCAGAGCGGTGGTTTGAACCAGGGTCTGATTGACTGTTAGTCTTATGTGCTTATGATGTCCTTTCCACCCAGCAATAAACGGAAACTCAAACAGATTGGGTGACTTGCCTCAGGCGACCGCAATGTAGGGGCAGCCTAAGGTACAGTCATTTGGGAAATGTTTGTTGATTGAATTAATGAGAAAGTGGCTCCTGAAGACAGGAAGTGAACTGGTAAGGAGGCCAGCGTGGAAGGCCCCAGGTGAGCAGAGCCTTCCACTTGGATGGCTTCCTGTTTACTTATTCTAGGGGAAAAAATAAAAATACAAATGGAACATTTGACAGCAAAGCAAGGCTGGGTGATAATTCTATTCCCAGATCAAATCACAGTGCAGGGAATGCGTTATCATCAACGCGATTACCTTGGGGGGAACAGAGACAGGGAGCTTTATTAAATGAGACAATCTTGCTAAAAGGAAGCCTTACATTAGACTTTGGGCCTTAAATAATATTAGTGTCAAGAGCTGACAAACATTCCTCACACCGCATCTGGGAGCGCACTGCCTCCCAGCGAGCGGCCTTTGTTGGGGTGGGGGGGCACCTGTGCTGGAGTGTCCCTGGCAGTGGTGGGTGGAGCAGCCCTCCTGGCTCAGTGGCCACACATTCCTGGGCTGTGGCTCTCTGGTCACTAAATAAAGAGTTCAGACCCTGCTTTTCTCTCAGGCCAGCAGGCACCTCCTTCCTGGTGATGCTGGGACCAGGGGACCCTCTGCCGCCCCACAAAGAGGGGGCCCTGTCTTTTCTACCCTGGGCACAATGATTTTGAAACTCAACAGGCCCCCAGTGGAGGCAAATAATTGATTTCCAGATGGGATTCCCCTCCCCTCCCAGATAGTGTGCCTGGGCTGCCCTGGCACAGTGCCTCTTCTCTTCCTTGTGCCTTGCTCCCTCGGCTCCATCTCCCCACCTCTCTCCCTCTCTGCACGTCTCTGTCTCTGCAGGCAGACCCAGAGCTCGCATCACCCAGTGGTTCAGGGCACAGTCTTTGAAGCCATGAAGGTCTGGGAGGTCTGGGTTCAAGTCCTGCCTCATCAACCCTGTGACCTTGGGCACGTTACTTTGTTTCTATGGTTGTAAGTATCCTTGTCTGTAAAATGGTTAACTAGTATCAACCCCACAGGTTTGTTCTGGGGACTGAATGAGTTAGTCTGTGTAAAGCTCCTATCCCAGTGCCTGGCATACAGGAAGTGCCGAAGTCATCTCCTCTCCACTCTGTCTTGGGTCCTGTTCCTGCCTGTCCCTCCTCCCTTTCACCACCCCTACATGCCCATCTCCCAGGAAGGATTATAGGTTGCTGGAAGGCAAACTTCTCCAGCCCATGGTGGGAAAAAAGCATTTCATGGGAGCTTTATTCCATGCAGACTATAGATCTGGGGGCTCCCAGAAGTCACCCAGTATAGCCTCTCTTATTATAGATGGGGAAACTGAGGTTCCAGACAGGGGCTGGAATGTGTCTGTGCAGATTTCCTCCTGCACAGGAGGAGGTAGATCTACTGATCTTGAATAGATCTTGAATAGATCAGTAGATCTTGAGTTCAATCCCTGCCTCTCCTTTTTCTCTCAACCATAGGATAAATTTATAGAATGATGGTAACAATAATAGTTCTAATTCAGCAAAAACTTAAGTGTGTGGGGCCCTGTGCTAAGTTGATGTGATGATATTGCCATATAACCAATGAGATGATGTTCCCAATTATAGAGGAGTAAACAGACTCAGGGTGGTTACTCAACAGGTCCAGATTGTACACTTAGTAGGTGGAGCCTGTACTGGAAACACCATCTGTCTCACACTGTGGCTGGCTCAGACACAAATAGCAGTTCCTGAAGCCACAAAGCAGAGGATGACCAATGGCAAGGCCAATGACAGCATGGGTCTTGGACTCCGTTTTTATTCTCTGTTGACCTTGAAGAAGTCAATTAACCTGTCTGAGTCTTGATTACGTCACTTATAAGGTGGAGGCGATGATTTGCAGGATAGTGCCCATGCTGATCATTGTGAAGCCCCTGGAATCTTGGGCTGAAGAGACTCTAGGGGTCATTCCATCCAACCCCTATTCCACTCCATGCCCAGGGGGATTAGGCAACTTGCTGGGTAGAAGCCAGAAGGGCTGGAGCAGGGATTTGGTCTGTGGCTGTAGGATGTCAGGGGTGTACTGTGTGATCACATGATTTTCAGTTCTTCTCTTAGAGCAGCTTGTGTCTTCCCAATACTGGCTCTGCCCGACTCCTCTGTGGCCCTGTCACCCTCCCTGCCAGGTGCTTCTGTGTCACTGCCACAACCACTCCACCACCCCTGGAGTAATGTCCCTCCTACTTAAAGAGGGAACTGGCAGAGCAGCAGGGTTAGGACTGGGCTGTAGGGAGCTCTGGGCTCCAGTCTGATGTTGATGGAGTGTCTGTATTCTGCAAGCCTCTTCCTGTTTCTGCCTCTCAGCATCAGAAGGCACGATGGTCTTATGTATTAAAAGCTGGGTAAGTTTATCTGTCTCCAGACTACAGTCTATGCATATCTCTGACATTTCTAGGCGTTGCACAGAACAGCAACTCATCATCAGGTGAGTTTGGGAAATGCTGGGTTAAAGTTCAGCAGCTTTTTCTCCCAACTCTTTTTTATTAAAATAATTGATTTAATTTCAGAGAAAATGCAGACTCACTGAGACACACACAAAGTGCAGAGTCATATAAAGCAAACATCGATCATCACCACTCTTCGTCGTTCTCACTTTGCAGAGCAAGCGATGTTTCCTCGCGTGTCTCTCTCTGTGCTTATAAAGTACATGTGGAAACACTCTCACACGCATATATAGGATGCTTAAGAAATTTGGTCTTGTTTTCTCCTGAAAGCCTTGTCTGGGCCTGGAATGTGCAATGGGCTCTCAGTCTTTAAGACCAGCTTTGCCGCGCAGCTTTCCCAAGTCCTGGGCCCTTTGTATCCACCGAGCGTCTTGGGGAAGCCTTTGGACAAGGCTGGACTGGACATCCTAATGGGCCTCGGTGACCCCAGGTCAGCAGGGGAGGCTCTAACAGCAGGTGGTGGGTACTGGGCTGCTGAGGATAAACTGTCTGTGAATAAGGACACTCATGGGCTCAACTGGCCAGCACCCTGGGAGTTGTCTCAGTTGTGGAAGCTCTGGGTCTGTGGGAGTGATGCCATTGCCAGGGGCCAGGGGCCTGGGGAGCTGGCCTGGCTTTTGCCTTGTCCTGGAGAGCGCAGTGAGTAGGCACTGCCTATAGGGAGCCAGGCAGACCAGATGAAAAGGGCAGTGCGCAGGTTGGTGCCTGTATCCAAGGAGGCGCAACAGGCCCACTCGGCCCCCAGGGGCCTCTCCCACCCCATGTCCCTTCTGATTTTAGGCTGGATAAATGATTTGTCATGGTGATTCCAGCAGAGCTTGCTCGCACTGAGCGGATTTATGCTCTGCTCATCACCTCCACCCTGAGGCCCCAGGGGTCAGGGACGTGCCTGGAGTAACAAAGGGAGTTGTTGGTGGGGCTGGCCCACACCCTGGGGCACAGGTGACTTCAGGTGGGCTACCATACTTTCTAGGGAGCCAGACTTCGGTGCCAGAAGACCTTGGTTTGAGTCCTTGCTCTTCCACCCAAAATGCAGATCTAAGAAACCTCCTAACTTCCTGTCTGGGTCTCCATTTCCCTAGCGGCTGGCACAGGTTCTTAGTCTTGTCTGGGTCAGGAACCCCTTTGAGGAGTGTGGAGCTGGTCCTCAGGGCCATGTGGAAACGCCCGCACAGCAGTGTTGTGTAGAGATTGGGGTGGGACTCGAGTGTCGTGGGTCATTTGTGAGGTCTATTGGGCTCATACTCTGTTCTGGGTTTGGGAGGATGGAGGTGATGGAGATGGAAGAAGAGCAAACAGGCGTTCTCTGGGAGCATCCAGCCTGGCTGAGGGGTCAAGATGCAGTCCTGGGAGGCATACGGAGACTGGCCGCATCCAGGCGAACATCAATGCAGGTGTGGTCCCAGCAGGGCCCCTGAAGGGATGGACAGGGTGGGAGATGAGGAGAGGGTGTCCTGGGAGAGGCACAGCACATTCAAAGGCACAGAGCTGATAAGGGGGCAGGTGTTAGGAGCCAGCCTAGATGGTTTTGCTGGGAAGGTGGCTTGGGAGCCACCAGAAATGAGGGGCTGCAGAGGTTCACCTCTGCTGTGGGCACAGCTCTCATTCAAGAACCAGGCGGTGGCAGCCACCCACCTCCACCATGGGGAGAGAACAGCACACTGGCCTCTATCCTTATGACAGGCTCCCACAGTCCAGAACCAATAGAGGGATAAACCTCACTAATCGTTAATTACCATCCGTGGTGCAATTTTATGACTTTCCAGATAAATGCTCTCTGAGGGAGTGTCAGCATTACGGACTCCTAGTTTAATGATCTGGGGTAGTGATTTAAGGGGTGGGGTCCCAGGTGGCTGGAGGATGGGAGCAAAAGCTGGTGGAGCCCCTCAGAATCGAGGCCAGGGCTCCTGTCTGGCCGGGGGCAGGGATGGCCTGAGCCGAGCATTGGCTGGAGTGCAGCTGGCTGCTCCTTCCTGCCGCTCTCCTGAGCTTATGCATCTAGAGAGCACACTCCCTGCCTGCTGGCTGCACCCTGTGACCCCCGGGCTCCAGCCAGGCATCATGAGACTTTTGGGAGTGGGAGGTCTGAGAGTCGTTCCATCTGCCAGCTGTGGGCTGCTACAGCTCACCTGTCTGGCAGCCTCACACCTGTTAGCTCTTCAAGGCAGGGTGCTCGTCAGGACTGCCCTCTCCCTTTCTCAGGACACATCTCCACCTCCCACATCCTACCTGCCCTTTTGCTGTTCTTTTCCCAGAAGCCCCTGCACATTGGGCAACCCCACTCCCAGCTCTATGTTGGTCTTCCCTGAACTAGGGACATTCCCAAGTCAGCCTGATTCCCTGCCCAGGCTGGAAGCCCAGGCTGGGGCGGTGGGGGACATCCCTAAATCTCCCAGAGCCAGACTTGTAGTGGGCACGTGGGCTTCCTCCATGTTCACTGCATTTAGGTTTCTTTTAGGGAGAAGGGCTGCCCCAGGTGGAAAAGAGCTGAGGTTGCCCCTCCCCGAGCCCTACTATGTGCTGTGTGCTGGACCCCAGGCCAGGCTCTTGCTATGCCTTTGCATAAGGTTAAGTGAAGGACTCTGGAGCCAGCCTCCTGGGCTCAATTCCCATCTCTGCCATATATAAATTTGGTGACTTAGACAAGAGACTTGACCTTTTTGTGCCTGAATTTCCTCACCTGTAAGTGCAGGTTACAGTCGTACCTACTGCATAGGTTTATTGTGAGGAACAAATGAGTCAACGCATGGAAAGTTCTTATTCTGGTTTCAGCACGTAGACTGGGCTCCTAGTTTGCTGTCATTAGCACATCTCCATGAATCCTTACAAACCCTAAGTGGATGCGCCTGGCTTGATGACAGACAGCACAGTGGCCAAAGGTTTGCATACCAGCCAGTCACCCATGCATAGATCTGGTGCTCAACCTATAGCAGGACCCGGGAACATTAAATTTCCTGAGCCTGAATTTCCTCCTCTGTAAAATGCCAATCATAATAATAATAGCAGCTGCTTCTTAGGATTACTGTTCTGATGACATAAGTTCATACCCATAAAGTAGGTCACAAAGTGCCCGGCACAAAGCAAGCTCTTAATAAAGCAAAGTATCGACACTCCCATTTGACAGATGGGAAACAAAGTCTCAGCGAGGGGAAGGGACTTACCCACCAGAGGTAGTCATTAAACTCAGTTTCATCTGAGTGCAAAGCCAAGGCATGCTCCTCTCTAGCCCCGCTCCACCGCCCATGGACAGGGGTCATGTTCAGACCTTCTCAGGCCCTGAAGCCCTCTCTTCAAGGGCTCATAATTGGAAAACCTTGACCACCCTCCTCCTGACCCAGCACACTTATTAGCTAGTTGAACCCGGGTGAATTGAAGTTGCCAAAGGCACCCTGTCTTCCAGGAAACAGGGCCAGCCAAGGCCACTCTGCTGACCTTGGTGGGTGTGACAGGTCCCTGGGTAATCAATCCCCTTTATGACCAAGGCCACCAATTTTCTCCCTCTTTGATTCCCTCTCCTGAAGCCTGGTGCATCCACTCAGCACCTGGTTAGGAAGCTAGGCCAATTTTCCTCCCTTTTGATTTCATTCTGCTCCTGTCTGGCTGCCCAGCCACATGGAGAGTTTGTCAAATGGAATTTCTGTCTCTTGCGGCCGCCCTGCCCTCTGCAGAGTGCTGAACGGGCAGGCAGGATCACCCGGCTCAGTGCCGCAGACATCACTCTCTTGTGATAAGGGCCAGTGCGCACCCTTGAAGGAGGAGCCTGTCATTCTTCACAGTCACCAGGCAGCTGGCGGGTAAGGCCACCTCGCAGACTCAGAGTGGGGGCACAGGATGGCAGCAGACAGCGGGGGCGGCTGGCAGCAGTCCCTTGAGCCCACAGGCTTGGGAGGAGGCAGCTTTGGGTCCCACAAAGGGCAGGGCATAGGGTTGCTGGAATAACAGAGGTCCCTGCCGCTGCTCATCCACATGGCCCAGCATCAGCACGAGATACTACTGGAATGAGGCAGCTCAAACTCAACTCTCGGCTGCCACCAATGCTTTTTTTTTTTTTTTTTTTTTTTTTTTTGAGAAGGAGTCTCGCTCTGTTGCCCAGGCTGGAGTGAAATGGCACGATCTCGGCTCACTGCAGCCTCCGCCTCCTGGGTTCAAGCAATTCTCCTGCCTCAGCCTCCTGAGTAGCTGGGATTACAGGCCCCTGCCACAATGCCTGGCTGATTTTTGTACTTTTAGTAGAGACGGGGTTTCACTATGTTGGCCACGCTGATCTCAAACTCCTGACCTCAGGTGATCTACCCGCCTCGGCCTCCCAAAGTGCTGGGATTACAGGCGTGAGCTGCTGTACCCGGCCAGCTGCACCATTGCTAATAACCATTAAGTCACATTTCATCACACGTAGGTGCCAAACTTGAGGCTTTTGAAATATGCCTGTGTATTCTTTGACATGCCTCCCCTTGAATGTGGGCTGGACTTAGTGACTTGACTTGCTGTCTCCCCTTCTCCAGGCAAGGGGGGAACCCCAGGCATCATAGAAATAACAGCAATCCTTGCTGCTATTCCCCAAACCCCTACTGTAGGCCAGGGACTGGGCTAGGTGGCTACCTGTGGCCTGTTAGTGACTCATTTGATCCTCAACCCCACCAGTGGGGTAGCTGATATTATTAACATCCCCATCTCAAAGATGAGGAAACTGAGGCGCAGAAAGGTTAGCAAATCACTCATGGCATCAGCTTGTAAGTCACAAAGCCAGGGTTGAGCCTCCGTGGCTTGGCCCCAGGGCTTTTCTTAGCCACTGTAATACCCAGTCACAAGGACACTCCCTGCGGGGCAACTGATTGTGCAGCTGAGAGGAGCCAGTGGAGGAGAAAAAGCTAAGAGGTTCCTGAAGGGTGGAGGGTCAACCTCTTTTCTGGAGGAGGATGAGGAAAGCCTTGACTGAGAGATAGGGAGGACTGGGGAGGTCACAGAGGGACCTGTGGGCACAGGGTCTCTGGAAGCTGCCCTGGGAATTCTTGGCTGAACTGTGTGCAATAGAAATCTTTTTTCTTTCTTTCTTTCTTTCTTTCTTTCCTTTTTTTTTTTCCTTTTTCTTGAGACAGGGTCTCTGTCACCCAGGCTGAGTGCAGTGGTGTTATCAAACTCACTGCAGCCTCAATCTCCCAGGCTCAAGCAATCCTCCCACCTCAGCCTCCCAAGGAGCTGGGACTACAGGCATGCATCACCATGCCCAGCTAATTTTTTTGACTTTTTGTAGAGATTAGGTCTTGCTATGTTGCTCAGGCTGGTCTTGAACTCCTGGACTCAACTGATCCTCCCGCCTCAGCCACCCAAAGTGCTGAATTACAGGTGCAAAGGAAATCTTTAAAGCAAAATGCCAAGGAAATACTGTTTGAGTAGGACTGTACCATTTATAATCAGTTTCCACAGCCATCTTAGGGAACTCTCACCTCTCCCTGGGTATGCCACCCACCCAGTCCCCCAGACAAGATTCTGGGGATCTGCTGGACACTTCTTGTCTTTCAGGTGCTCTAATTTTACCAGCCACCATGCAGTCCTGCCTCTTGGGTGCCCTAATTCTTCTGGGCAGTCCTGCCTCCTACCCACCCCTTGGTTCTGGTTCTGCCCACTTCCTTCCCACTCCACTGCTCCCACCCCACCGCCAGCCACTGCCACCTCCTGCCTGCTGGGGACACTGACATCACCTCTTGGCTGCTTTTCTCTACCCAGTTGCTCTTCCCTCTGACCACTTCTTCCCTGAAGGGACCTTCCTACATCACAATTGAAACAATTCTCCTTCCTTGCTTACAATTGCTCACTGACTCATGTGGTATTCAAGTCCAAATCCCTGAGCATGTTTTTGAACTGGAAAAATGACAGGGGGCAGTGGTGGTAATCAGAGCAGGCTTCCTGGAGGAAGTGACAACTAGGCTGAAGGATGAGTGAGTGTTCATGCCACATGATGTGCAGGAAAGGCACTCTGGGACAGCAGCAGCAGAGGACCTTCCTGGAGATGTCTCCCATACCCTCGGTCCCCCATGCCTGTGGGATTTTCAAGAGGAAGCAGAGCTGTGGGGCCATGCTTCCCATTGTGCAATATGGATGTTCTGGGAAATACCACAGGAGGGTGGAAGGGCAGGCGATCGTCCACACAGGAAGGGGGCATGCAGGGCTGGATTTGCTGAGCCGAGATAAGCGGCCCCAGAGGTGCTCCAGAGAGGAAGCCCCCGAGCTCGGGAGCCTCATGCGTGCAGGCGATAGCATGGGTTTGGAATGCACAGGTATTGACCAAAGCCACCATGCACAGACTGGACAGAAAATGGCTGGTGGGGGCTGGCTCTTGGGGAGCAAGACAACATCGTGCAGAGGAGAGAAGGGACTCTGGTTCTCTTTCTCAGGGGGCCCACAGAGAACTCAGTGGACTCATGGCTGAAAAGAAGGGGTCCACACTCTGTTTTTAACACCATCTATTTGTAGTTGGGAGACTCACCGTGCAGCCATGAGGCAGGGCTGGGTGGGGGCCATGCCATGCCCCTGGAGCTGGGACACCTAAGCTCAGCATGTATCTAGAAAACAAGACTGGTCCAGCGTAATGGTGCGAGATGAACCAATTCCTCTACGTGGCAATTTGTCACAAGCACAGCCCTCAACTCACGGGGTACCAGGGACCCAGGAAGAAGTGGACTTGGCACCAATGAGGATGCTTCTGCTGCAGATCTCTAGGTGCCAGCTGCTACTGATATGTGATGTTGGGCAGCCGCTTCTCCTTTTGGGGACCTCAGTCTCCCCATCTGTGATTTTTGAATCTTAATAATAACCCTTCTGCCTCCTAAGACAGTTGGAGGATCAAATAGGATAATGGAGGTGAAGTTACATAGGTATTTGGTGAGCCGTGTGCCAGCCATCATTGTGGGTGCTGGAGATAAGCATGCCCACACAGCTCATGGCCAGGTAGCTGTCACTGCAGGTGCTGGCCTCAGCCCTCACACAGTTCATGGTCTGTTAGGAAGGCAGACAAGTCACCTGAATGGCCCTTGCTCATCCAGTGGCCTTCAGGCATTGCTGGTTGGAAGCCTGGTATGTGTTGGTGAGAGTCAGAACTTGACAAATACTTCGTGTTTGCGCACAGTGGAGAGGAACGGGGTCTCACCTGGAGGACTTGGCTGTGACCCCAAAATAGTGAACCAGATGCAATCATGGATCTTAGGAAGAGTCCCAGAAGTTAGTAGTCCCATCAAAGAATGCAAAAGTGGAGGTCCATACCATATCATACCCTCATTCCACTTACATCTCTTGTTCATGCAATGCCAAGTGGAACAAGAATGATGGTGAACTGCCACCTCCTCTAAGAAGCATTCATGGATTTCCCCTGCGATGAGTAGATTATAACCCCTGGGAGCACCATGACTCCCAACAAGGGCCCCGCCGAGAATACATGTGTACATCCTTGTCTCGTTTAGCTCAGGGACACCTTGAGACCCTTACCTGTCCTGCCAAACACGGGGCCTGGTCCAGCCCAACCCTTGTCTCAGCCTGGCCCAAAAGCAAGGACTGGGCTGGGTTATTATTCCTTGTGTCTGCACCAGTGCCCAGCACAATGCCGGGCACAGCTGTCAAACGATTGGCTTAAAGGTTCTAGGGCAAGTGTAGGCAGTAGCCTGCTCTGGGCCCATGCATGGAGAAGTGACTGGTTCCGAGTGCCAAGGAAGGGGAGCACAGAGTCACTGGTGGCCCCTGGTCAGAATTGTGAGCCTGAGCGACTGGGAAGTCAGGTTCCCCAAAGGGGGGCTTTCAGATACATTAGCCCACTATGGGAAAATTAGAATTTCCACATGTAGATAGCAGCTAATGGAGACCCTCATTACTTGTCATAGCATTAATTTTAGGAGATAGTCCTGGTGCACATTAGGAGGCTATTTTAGTACCAACGAATTAGATACCTTTATTAGCCATCAGAGGTGAGGGAGGTAATGAAGTACTCGAGGTAGAAGGGAGAAATCGCACTTCACCTTGGATCTAGTCATTTCCCCCGTGTTTCGGTGGTGTCAGCTCATCCGTCAGGCACTGCCCACAGCCTGGTGGGGTCTTGGTCAGTCTAGAGCCCAGGTGGGCAGGCAGAGGAGAGTCTGCATGGGTGATCTGATCTGAGCGCACATTGGCCCTGGCATGGTGTGCAGGAATGTGGCATTCAAGTGTGTGTGTATGTGTGTATACACCTGTGTGTGCATGTGTGTGTGAGGAGTAAGTGGGCTTCTGTGCATAGGTAGGTGCATAAACAACCTTCTAATTAGCTGGAGGAAAACAGAATGGGCTGCCTGTGGAGTAGCTACCCCCTGCCATCTGAGGCCCTGGCAGCTGACCTCTTCGGACTCTTGTAAGGGAAGAGGGACACTGTAGAGGTGGTGGAGAACTCTCAGCCTTGAGAGCCCAAGACTTTTGATCTCTGTGTGGGGATCCAGGAGACCCAGCTCCTACTCACAGCACGAGCATCGCCTGGTGCTTGAGTAGCCCCACTGTTCCCTTGGAGCCTCAGCTTCTCCTGCCCAGGGGGTTTTAGACTGATGCCCTCCAGCTGCTTCCCAGGAAACCAGGGTGGTCTAGTTTAAGTCCTCTCTGTAGGGCTTGTGTATGGATAGCTCACCCTTGGCCACCTCCTGGGCCCCTCAGGCCAGCTTTCAGGTCTCCTGTTCCCACAGGCTGGGACAATCAGACCTGCTCTGAGGTCTCTGCTCCTCTCCCGGGGGCTGCTGGATTGGGCAGTGATGCTTCAGGAATGCCCATGTTGTGCCCTTTTAGCATCCGTGCCCCCCACCAAACCTGCCACTTTCTGATTTCCTCTTGACTTTTGGGAGAGATGATGAAACTGTGAGGATTGCAGCTTCCCTGATAAACAAACAGATGTGGCAATTCCCCTCCACCCTCACGAAGGTGTAGAGCCACGTGGAGAGGCCTGGTTTTCAGGACTTGCTGAATTGTGGGAAGGGAGGTGAGTGCACTCCTGGGGTGCACTCTGATAGCCCTCAGTGCTCCTTCTGGCCCCCAGGGCCTGTGAGCCCCCATAATCATCCTGGCTCTTATGGACACAGACTTTACAGTTTACCAGGGACTTTCTCTTTCACTTGTGCCTGAACTGTCAGTGGCCTGGCAGCAGCCTCAGCTCACTGGAACGAGGAAGACACAGTGGGTGAGAGACTGAGCTGGTCTATTCTACAGCCCCCTCGTGCACCCTCGGGGGCTGCACCCCACTGTGGCTGCCCTGTCTGCTTGTCCTGCAGCCTTGGGATTTCACCTGGCAGATGCTAAGAGTTGCTAAAGGGGGTGTGAGCTGGGTAGTGGCATGGAGGGGCAGGGAGACAGTGTCTTTGGAGGCTTTGGAATCACACAGACCTGGGCTCACTTGGCTGTGTGACCTTGGGGGGATTGCTTCATCTTCCTGGGCCTTCCTTTCTTCACCTGTGAAATCTTGTCAGGAGGAAAGGAGAAGGGCCCTGGGCACATTCCTGGCACTTCAGGGGTATGTCACACACAGCGATTCTTGCTCCACTCCCTTCCTCTTAAAATAGTGGATTCGAATAGGCCTTGGGCCTTCTTTGCCAGGAAAGTCAGGGGAGCTGGTTTGCCTGTGGGAACTCTAGCTTCATTACCCACTGCCCCCTGTCACTTTGAATTCTATTGTTGAGGCCTCGTGGGAAGCCCTGATGGTCCCATATTGATCAGAGAGGCTGAGGTGGGTGGAGCACAGAGCTAGGGCAGGCAGACGGTATAGAGGAAGAAGTATAGCCCTCAGCCCCTGTATGAGTTCTTACGGGGCTTAAGTGGTTCAGTGAGGCCACTGGTCACTTTTGTCTTTTAGTTCCATGTCATATCTCCCTGTCGGATGGGGAGGGGCTCCCTGAAGGCAGGCAGGGCAGTGGCTGCTGCATCACTTGCTGTCTGTGGCCCAGATGGGTGCCTGACATTTGGTGGTGGTTTGCTGAATGCACAAACAAATAAATTCAGCAGCCAATGAGGGTCTCAGGGACCTTGCGGATTCAGGGAGTTAGTCCTGGCCAGGAACTTAGGGTTCATTCATGCTCTCGTCTGAACTGAGGTCCAGGGGAAGTTTCTGGGGCAGACAGAGGACTCAGTGGACCAGAGTAATGCAGACTGGAGAAGGGCTCAGAGCCAAAGAGTTCAGGGGCTTGTGGGAGCCCAGCCTGGACTCAAGGGTAGAGGAGGGAATGGAGGGTAGGAAGTAGCTGGATGGAGTGGTGAAGGGCAAACGAGAGGGCTCGGGGTGGGGCAGTGTCTTCTAAGCACACAGCAGCCCAGCAGTGAGAGTGCAGCCACATTTGGGATACTGTGCAAAGTTTATCAGGCTCTGGAACTGCCTGGCCACAGAGTGAAGTGTGGATGGAGCCAATACTGGAACACCCTCTGGTCAGCCTCTGTAAACTTATTTCACCATCCACCCTACCCATGTCCCAAAGCCTGGATGGCCAGGAGGGGCTGTGGCCAAATACCTTTCTCATGATCATCCATGGGTTGGACGAGAGAATGGGAGGCAAGGCTCCTTCAGGCCCTGGGACCCCACCGAGGATGAGATCCAGTCCCCTGGACACAGCACACAGGGTTGCAGATGGCCTCTGCCTGCAGGCCTCACATGCAGACACCCCCCGACCCACGGCTTTGTTTCCTCTGAGTGGTGATGTGGAGGGGAGGAGGGAGGCGTGGGCAGCCTCCACACATGGCGGCAAATTTGGGCCATTGATTTGCATTTATTTCCTGCTCAAATGATCCAGGCCGGCTGCCGCTGGGGGTGGGGGCGGAGGGGGTGCTCTTTAGCATTTTAAGTTTGCAGATAATTGGAGGAAAATAACTCCAATAATGAAATCACTGCTGGATCGCATTCTGATACGTGACAAATCAATTCATTTATGATACCTTCTTTGTCACACTGAGCCATTCTGGCGCTCAGTGGAAACCTCTTAAATTAATAAAACTGTTAAATCCATAAAATCCTCCGTTCTGAGTAGCACATCACAGCACAAGTTTGAATCATTAAAGGAATAAAACTGATAAATGTGAGCTGGGGAGTGTCTGTGTCTGCAAAGAGGGGCTGGCTTTTAAGACAGATACAATGTAATAGTCATAAGCTCCAATATATCCTCACTCTGTGTAGCAGGAGGGGGGAGGGGTCGGGGCCATCTGCATCTTCCAGGGGGAAGGCTGGTGGGTACAGGCCTAGCCAGCACGGGGCAGGCTGCTTTAGTGGTGATATGTGGGACCTTATGCTTTTAAATAAAATATGATTTAATAGGAAAGAGAAAAATATAAAGCCTTTATTGGACACTGTTGAACCTGACTTAGCTCTACAAGGATTTTCCAAAATAGCCATACTTGTCTGAAAGGGGAAGGGATGGCACAGTCTCTGAGATCACATAGTGGCCAAGGAGTGGGAGGCGTGGCAGGTAGGACGAGGGGAAGAGGGCAGACCAGCAGGCTCAGGCAGGGTGGGTGGCCTCCAGCTGGACTGCTTGCTGGCTGTGTGACTCTGGGCAGGTTGCTGTACTTCTCTGAGCTTCTCTGTTTCCTCAACTGTAAGTGGGGATGGGGATACTGATTTCATAGAGTGGAGTACATCAGATAAGGCATGAGAAAGAGCTGTGTAAACCGTAAAGTACAAGAGGTGGTCAGTTAATGGTCATTTCTGAACATGGTTCCAACAGGTAAAAGTTCCTGCAGTTCTCACCACACAGGGTTGGACTTCTTTTGGTGTGTTGCATGTGGGTCAAGCAGGATGATTCTGATGGAGTGAACTGCAAAGTTCTGTGCACAGGAAGCGCATCACATACCCCCCTGCAGTGCACTCCATTAGTGCATGTTCCCCTTAAGATGCACAGAACGAAGAATGAGCCCTGACATCCCCTATTCAGTCTGGTTGGGCTCAGGGAAACCAGCTGAGAGGCCGCCACACAGAAAACAGCCAATGCAGGCTCGTGTTCCTCCCTCCATGGGAGTCCAGTTTGGAAAACACTTAGAGGAGTGTTTAGGGAGCTCCCTCTGTGCCAGGCACTGGGCAAGGGTGGGCAGGTGGTGGGAGGCACATGGAGGTGAGTGAGATCCCGCCTACCCTTTGAGCCTCATGTGGCCTCCTCCTTGTCTGTTTGCCTTTCTTTTTTCTTTTTTTTTAGAGACAGGGGTCTCACTCTGTTACCCAGGCTGGAGTGCAGTGGTGCAGCTATAGCTCACTGTAGCCTTGAACTCCTGAGCTCAAGCTCTTCTCCCGCCTCAGCCTCCCGAGTACCTGGGTATTCCAAAATGGCCATACTTGTCTGAAAGGGGAAGGGACGGCCCAGTCTGTGAGATCACATAGTGGCCAGGGAGTGGGAGTATTGGCAGGTAGGATGAGGGGAAGAGGGCAGTGTACACCACCACACCCGGCTAATGTTTTTTGTTTGTTTGTTTGTTTGTTTGTTTTGTAGAGGCTAGGTCCCACTATGTTGCCTAGGCTGGTCTCAAATGCCTGGGCTCAAGCATTGCTCCAGCCTTGACTTCCCAAAGTGCTGGGATTACAGCCGTGAGTCACCGTGCCCTGTCTTCCATTTGCCTTTTATGCCAATGAGACTAGAAGCTCCCTGAAGCCATCTGGGCTTTCTCCTTTCCTCACCTCCTCCAGGGTCTTCTTCTGTAAACTTTGGGTCCATGCAACCTAGAACAGATGGAGTGTTCAGCCCCCATTCTGGAAACTAAGCGTGCATCCAGTGGGGCAGCTTTGAAACTTTACTCGCAATAAGAAAAACTTTGCATTGCACTCTGGTACACATGCACATGCTATAAATATATCATTGGGACAAAATTTTTAGGAAACAGTGTTTACCTAAATGTAATGCACATGATTCGATTCGATTTGATTCTGTTCTGTTTTGCTATATTCTATCCTATCCTGTACCCAGGTTTTAGAATGCGATCTTCATCTGCTAAATGGGTTTTGTGCTCCACTAATGGGATGTGTCCCATAGTTTGGAAAATTCAGATCTGGTCTACCTGCTCAGTTTTCTGAGAAGGGTCTTACCAAAGGCTACACAAGAATGACTACCCCCACTCCCCAGGCTGGGTGGGGCCCAAGCCTGAGTCCCCCAGGCCATCTGCCCTTCACTGCCACTCCTGTCCGTGGCTCCACCTGAGCCCCTCCAGAACCCTTCCCAATGGTCACTCCGTGCAGGACTCAGAGACTCTAGAGGGGAAATGGACAGGGAAGCTGTCACCAGCAGCCTCTGTCCACCATCTTAAAAAAAGAATGGAAGTGATGATGCAGCTCACCTGCCCTCTCCATCCCACAGAAATCAAAGGGGGTTGGGGGCAGGGAGCCCGTGCCCCTGGCATAACGAGCCATGTGGGCCAGAAACCTGACAAGCCTTTGCTCCCCGCACGTGTCAGGAGTTCTTGACAGCCAGCAATGGGAGCACTAATTGCTAGCCAGGGTGAGGGTGGCAGCTCCGCAATCCCTATCAATTATGGGCATTGGCCATGGCTGTGAGACAAAAAGGTTCCTTGGAGGCTGTCAGGCCCCAGTGTCATTACTCGGGTCTGCTGTGCCTGCTGGAGGCAGGACAGAAACAATGGCCACCCGCCACCCCCCACTGCCTCGGTGGGCTGGCCCTGGGCTTGCAGTGCAGGGTCTGACAGTTGTAGGGGGAAACGTGAGGCCCGCCTGGCCTGCCTTGATGTTTTGGCACTGGGCTTGTCACCCTGGGCACTGATGGGCCACTATCACCTCTCTTAGGAAGGGAAAACTTCAGGTCAGGTGTTTTTGTTTAATCAATTTTTTTTCCTTGTGGGGAAACCGAAAGGACTCATCACAACTGGTGGTTTTCAAACTAAGAACTGCTTTGGGAAACGGAGAGGCTGAGTGGGTGACATTCAGGATTCCCATCCCATGGTCAGGTTAAATCTGTTTCTCAAATCAGTCATTGGCTGAAGCCTCAGCATTGGCTCTTAAACTTTGATCAGCTTCAGAGGCACCTGCAGGGCTGGTTAGAAGAGATTGTGGGTCTGGGGTGGGGCCATGATCTATGTCTGTAACCAGTTCCCAGGTGCTGCTACTGGTCCAGAGACCACACTAGGAGACCAAGTTCTTCTCAATCTCCGTGTCGTGCACTGTGTATATCTGGGGAACTTTTTCAAAATACACATGCTGGGGTGACAGTCCAAACCCAGAATCAAAATGTTCAGACCGTTGCTGGGGCCCAGGGAGTCAGATACCCCTCAGTGCTGCTTACCCAAGTTGCTGGAGGAGGTCATGAGGGATATCTTGTCCTACTGAAGGGCAGGAAATGCTTTTTCAAGATTTAGAGTTGTTTGGATAGGCAAGGGCTGCCTAGAAAGAGCTAGGCCCCTGGTGCTGGAGGGGCCCAAGCCTAATTTGGGCCACTAACTCTTGTAGGCTGTGCTAGAAGGGCCCCTGAATATGATAGAGGTTGGATGGGGGACTCTGAGTTTCTCCTCCCTCAAGTCTGAGCAGGGGAGATTTGGGGATATTGAGTTTGGGCTGGAGCTGGGCTTGGAAGTCTTCTCTTCCATGTCCCAGGATGCCCCACGGCATCATTGTTGAGTTTCCCACCACATTTGCTTCATGATCTCCAGCATTTTGGGCACCATCTCACCCACCCCCACAGATCCTACCTCCCCCTCCCCTGTGAGAGAAGCGGGGCAATCAGTGGCACTTCATTAGCATATGAGGAAACTGAAGCCCAGGGAGGTTAAATGACTGGTCTAGGGGCCCGCTACACTTCCTGCGAGTCCCCTGAGGGGAAGGAGCCTAGACCGCACAGCGCAGGTGGTGATGGGATGCAGACTGAGCCCAGCACAGCTGAGTGAATGATGGCAGGTGCCCGAGGTGAAAGACAGACTCCTGGGGCCTGGTAAAGCAGCTGCTGAATTGTCCTCAGCCTTGGGGGTCTGGGGGATTTAGGGTCCAGGGCCTGATTAAGACACTTTCTGGGGCTAAAGTTTGTCTGTGGCCTGGGGGGTCTCGGTGCTCCTGGAAGTTGGGTCCAGCCCTCTGTCCTTCCATGGGGCCTACCCCCAGGGTCTCCCACCGCCCCTTCTACATGCTTGCACCTTGCTGTAGCATTTTTAGGAAAACAGTTTTATCAAGTTATAATTTACATAGCATGAAAGTCATCCACTGAGTGTTCCGCTTGATGAGTTTTAGTAAATCTTTACAGTTGTGCAGTGTCACCACAATTCCAAATGTTCCCTCAGGTCTGCTTGCAGCTGGTCCCCACTCCCACCCTCTACCTCAGGAAAATTAAGCATCCACTTTCTCTGTATATAGTTTTGTCTTTTCTAGAACATTTTGTATAAATGGAATCATGCAATAAATAATCTTTTGTGTCTGGCTTCTTTAATTTAGCATAATGTTTCTTAAGTATATTCATGCTGTTTCATATATCAGTACTTTATTCCTTCTTATTGCAAAGTAGTTTATGAATGTATGGCCACACCACACTTTATTTATCTAGTTCATGGACATTTGGATTATTTCTAAGTTTTGACAACTTCCAATAATGCTACCATGCGCATGGTGGTTCATGCCTGTAATCCCAGCACTTTGGGAGGCTGAGGTAGGAGGATCGCTTTAGCCCAGGAGGTGGAGACCAGCCTGGGCAACATAATGAGACCCTGCCTCTAAAACAATAAAAAAAAAAAAGTGCTATGATGAACTTTGCATATAAGTCTTTATGTGGACATATGTTTTCCTTTTTCTTGGGTAGATACCCAGGTGTCATGGGAAAGTGTGTGCTTAACTTTTTAAGAAATTGCCTGTTTTCCTAGGTGGCTGTACCATGTTATAGTCATGCCAGCAACGTATAAAGATTTCAGTTTCTCTGCTTCCTCTCCAATACTTGCTATTGTCTCTTTTTATTGGAGCCATTTTACTAGATATGTATGGGTGCCTCATTGTGGTTTTTATTTGCATTTCCCTAATGACTAATGATGCTAGCTTCTTTTCATGCACCCATTAGGTTAGTCATCTTGTGTCTTTGGTGAAGTGCTTATTCAACTCTTTTTGTTTTAATAGGATTGTTTGTTTATCACTGAGTTGTTAATGTTCTTCATATATGCTCAATAGAAGTCCTTTATCAGATACATAATTTGTAAGCCTTTTCTCCCATTCTGTGGTTTGTCTTTTCATTTTCTTAATGTCTTTTGAAGTGTAAAGGTTTTAATTTTGATGTTTATTTTATTAACTTTTTCTCTTCTGGATCTTATTTTGGTGTCATATCTGATAAATCTTTGCTTTATCCAATGTCAGAAAGATTTTCTTCTGTTTTCTTTCTGGACATTGTATAGTTTTCGTTCTTTTATTTAGATCTATGGTCATTTTTTTTTTTTTTTGAGATGGAGTCTCACTCTGTTGCCCAGGCTGGAGTGCAGTGGCACAATCTCCACTCACTGCAACTTCCACCTGCCCGGTTCAAGCGATTCTTCTGCCTCAGCCTCCCGAGTAGCTGGGATGTCAGGTGCCCGCCACCATGCCCGGCTAATTTTTGTATTTTATTATTAGAGACGGGGTTTCACCATAATGGCTAGGTTGGTCCCGAACTCCTGACTTAAAGTGATGCATCCACCTTGGCCTTCCGAATAAAGTGATGGGATTACATGCGTGAGCCACTGCACCTGGCTGAGACCTACAATCTATTTTGAATTACTTTTGTGTATGGTGTGAAGTGAGAATCTAAGTTCTTTTAAAAATTTTTTTGCATACTGATATCCAATTGTCCCTGCATCATTTGTTGAAAAGGGTATCTTTTCCTCATTAAACTGTCTTGGCACTTTGTTGAAACTCAATTGACTGTACATGTGTGCATTTATTTCTGGATTTTGTATTGGGTTGCATTGATCTATGTCTATCTTTATACTAATACGACACTGTCATGATTACTGTAGTTTTACGGTAAAATCTGAAATCTGGTAGTGTAGGTCCTTCAACTTGTTCTTGCTTTTCAAAATTTTGGCTAATCTGGGTTGTTTTCATTATCATATACATTTTAGGATGAGCTTGTCAATTTCTACCAAAAAAGCCTGCTGAGATTTTGATACATATTTGATAGAGATTTTGATGGCAATTTGGGAAAGATTGCCATCTTAATAGTATTGAGTCTTCCAATTCATGAACATTTATTTACATCTTCATTTATGTAGATCTTGTTTAAATTTTAGCAGTATTTTATAGTTTCCTGTGTATAATTTTTTTATTTCTTTTGTTAAATTTCTAAATGCTTTATTCTTTTTGATGCTATTGTGAATGAATTCTTTTCTTAATTTTATTTTCAGATTGTTCATTGCATAAAAATACAATTGGTGAGCCAGGTGCCGTGGCTCATACCTGTAATCCCAGCACTTTGGGAGGCTGAGGTGGGTGGATCAATTGAGCTCAGCAGTTCGAGACCAGCCTGGGCAACATGGCAAAACCCCATCTCTACAGAAAATACAAAAATTAGCCAGGTGTGTGGCATGCACCTGTGGTCCCAACTACTTGGGAGGCTGAGGTGGGAGGATCGCTTGAGCCTGGGAGGCAAAGTTTGCAGTGAGCCAAGATCGTGCCTCTGCACTCCAGCCTCCTGTCTCAAAAAAAAAAAAAAAAAAAAAAAAAAGAAATGCAATTGATTTTTATATCTTGATCCTATATGCTGTGGTGCTTTTAAAACCAAAATGTCTTGATACTTCTCCTATTGAGAGATGGGATCCACCCTTGAGTCTGGCTCTAAAAGTTCTTGGACTATAAAATACGACAGAACAAATACTAAGGCCTTTAGAAACTAGCAGCTTTCTTCCTGTCTGTTGGGATACTTGCTCTTGGACATCAGCCACCATGCTGTGAGGAAGTTCAAGTAGCCCATGGAGGGGCCCATGTGGAGGTCTGGTTGGAGAGGAATCAAGGCTCCGCCCATCAGCAGCACCCGCTTGCCAGCCATCTGAGTGAGCTGTCTTGGAAGTGGATGCTCCAGCCTCCAGTTAAACTTCTTTGGCTGGTGCTTCATGAAACAGAAATGAGTTTCCCTGCTAGGACTTGCCTTCAATGCAGATTTGTGAGCAAAGTAAGTGACCATTGTTGATAGGAGCCACTAAGCTTTTGGAATAGTTTGTTTCACAGAACTCAATAACTGAAACATTTGTCCTCTGAGTCTGATTAAGCACTTGAGTGGGAAAGAAAGAGTAATGGAGAAAGGAGGAGGGGAGGAGGGGCTGAAAGCAGGCAGCGGGAAGGAAGAAGTGATGATTTGAGTGACCGCTCTGCTGCTGACCTGGCTGGCCACTCTGTGTGCCCTGCCCCTTCCTGCAACCTCCGCTTTTGACACAGCCCTTTTCTGTTGGGTCTGTCCCATATCGCCCAGGGCTCCTGTGTGGCCCTGTCTTCCCAGGGCCAATCAGGGGTCACAATGCCCAAGGTCAGACCTGTTTGTTTGGAGTTGTCTGGAGAGCAAAGCCCTAAGTGAGCAAGGATGAGGTGGAGAAGGAAGGGGCCCCACAAGTGGCAGCCAGTCCAGCTCACACGAGCTCCTGGGCAGCCTGGCCCCTCGGCCACTGACATGGCTCCCTTCTTATGTCCTAGACATTCCCCTCCCCCTTTGCTCTTTTCATGACTGGCTCTTTTACATCCTTCGGTCCTTAGCCAAAAAGACACCTCCTTAGAGAGGCCCTCCCTGACTGCTACAAAATAATACGTTCCTCCTTCTCCTTAATAGCTCACTCCATCTCCTGTTTGCCTAATCCCTGGCACTATCACAATGTGCCATTGTCCATGAGTTTGTGAGCTCTCTGTCTGGTGTGTCTGGACTGTCTGCTCTCTGAGGGTAGGGCCACTGGGCCTTTTTCTCGGCTGTGTTCCCAGTACCCTGCCTAGCAGGTACCTGCGGAATGAGTGAACAGTGAAAGCTAACACTGGCATAGCTTCTGTAAGAGCTGGCCCTATTCTAAACACTTTACTTAGATCAACTGAATAAATCCTCTGAACAACCCATAAGCTAGCAATTATTATTATCCTAATTTTATAGATGAGGAACCAAGAACAAGAAGTCTATGTGTCCCACAGCTGGTAAGTGGTGAGGCTGGGGTTTGGAACCAAGGCAGTCTGGTGCCAGAGTCGATGCTCACAGCTCCTGAATGAGTGGTGCCCACCTCCTTCTGGCTGTAACACTGCTTCAGGGGGTCATGGACCCCAGGCTCCACTGCTGTTCTCAGATACCATATGCAGGATGTCCCATGCTGTCCCCAACCCCCACCCCCTTCAACCCCCACACACCTATTCTCCTCTCCTGGATGAGAGCTCTGACTTCACTGATCTTGGCAGGTCCCAGCAGACCATTCTCCTCCCAGCAGTCCTGGGAGGAGGACTTGTCATCCTCTTATGACAAAAGGGGAAACTGAGGTTCTCTGGGGGAAGAAAAAGGGGCTGCCTTGTTCCCCAGGCCAGGACTCTTTTCTCTGCCTTTCAGCTGCTCGATCTCATAGGCAGCAGAGCATTTTAAAAAGCTGGGTGGGCTTCCCAGACAGGGCTCCTCTTATTTCCCAATAGCTCGGTGGGGAGGGTGGCAGGTATGGTTTCTTGTCCCCATTCTGTTGATGAAAAAACTGAGGCCCAGAGAGATGAAGCCCGTTGCTTGTGGTCATGTAGCTGATGAAGACCCAGGCTTCCTGGCTTCCAGCCCTGGGTCCATCCTGGGCACCCATGACACCAGGTGGCAGGCACTTCAGGCTCACCTCTCTCTGGGTCAGGGTGAGATGTCAAGGTGACTGGCTCATAATAGGTGAGAAATATCCCATCAAACAGCTTGGAAGGTGATTTTTGAATGAATGCACGAGTGAATGAATGATTCTCTGATGTACGCCCCATAGTGGAGGCTTGGCAGGGCACCTGTAAGGGCTCTGTAAGTGCTGGCTGCCCATTGAGCCCTTCAGGGTGTGAAGTCGGTGTGACCTAATAGTTTGGGCTGAAGAAAATGATCCTTTTTCTAAGGGAGAGGCGAATCCAGGGATATGGAAGGTCGGGGAATGCTGCTTGGAGGAGGTGGCATTGGTACTGGGCTTGAAAAGTTGAGGGGAGAAGCGCTTAGGATAGGAGGCCTAACAGGGTCATCAGAACCCTGGATCCAGCTTCCATCACTAGGATGGAGGCGAGGGCAGGAAGGCGGAAACACTCATGCCCTGGGGAGTGGGGGCCTAACCATCCATTGCACAAGGCCCAGAGCAGCCAGGCAGGATGAGGGCCATTCCTCTTGTTCCTCCATGTGTTAGACCAGGTCTCCAGGATTTTCCCAGTGCCTCCCTCTGAAACCCGTCTTTCCTTTGTCAGTGAACCCCAAAGACGGGCTAATTTTTGGCTTTGGACACATGTGGGTTCTGCTTCAAAGAATTTCAATCCATGAAAATGCAAACTTCTAAGGGAAGGGAATTTCATTTATTACACCTCCCAGGGCACTAGGCATTTTACATACGCTCATTTCTTTCTCATAAGACCCCATGAAAAAGTTACGATTCTTTTTTTTAACAGCTTTACTGTTTAAAGTTCATCCATTTAAAGTGTACAATTCCATGGTTCCATGTATATTTACAGATTGTGCAACCATCACCATAATCTAATTTTAGAACATTTTCATCATCTCCCAAAGAAATCTTGTACCCATTAGCAGTCACTCCCCATTCCTTCCTCCGGCTCCCACATACCAAAAAAGTCTTGAGACTGGCATAATGAATTCCTTTTACCCCACCACCCAGCTTCCATCATAATCCAGTTCCATCCTGGCTGCCTTATCTTTCTTTGCTGATGCTGTTGCTGAAGAATCCTAAATCCTCTCTATTCCAAGTGTATTCTGTGGACCAGCCGCATGGGCTTAGCCAGGAATTCGTTAGAAATGCAGAATCTCAGGCCCCACCCCAGTCCCTTTGAATCAGAATCTGCCTTTTAATAGAGTTCCCATGAGATCCATGTATGCAATAGCATTTGGGCAGCTCTGGGATAAGAGTAAGCTTGAGTCTTCATGACATGTCACCTTCATACACTTCAATGTGTGTCTCTGACATAGGAACATCGTCTTCCATAACCACCAGGCCATTATCACAATGACTGAGATAAGCAAGAATTTGGAACTTCCTCTCTGAATTCCCATTCTGAAATTCCAGGTCCCAGCTAGGAATGCAGTGTAGGAATTGAACCCAGACCCGTCTGGCTGCACGCCTTTCTTCCCTCCACCTTCACCATTCTGAGGCTGTCCCCAGACAGCTGAGAGGCTTTGAGCCATGCCCATTTATCAAGGGCAGCCTGGAGCCTTCAGCAGAGTGCCTTGCAGACACTGAGACACCGGGCTGCTCACTCTTTCTCTCTGAATGGCTGTGGTGGTAATGGTAGCACCTCGGATGATGACCAGCTGACCAGATGACCATAGTCAGCCTCTCAGGCACAGCATTAGTGATTGATAACAAAGGGGACTGCTGGCTGGGCCAGGGGCCAACCCACCACTGACCTGCTGTGTGACCTGGGCCAGCCCCTCTCCCCTTTGGAACTCTTTCTTAGAGAGGCCAGACTAGGGAACCTGGGCTTGGTCCCAATACAGCAGGGTTTGCCGTGTGCCACCATCACTGGGCTCACCCCATGGCCATTCTGGGCGCCAGCACAGTGGTGTCTCTGAGTAGCCTTGTCCCTTCTCCCCTACCTGAACTCCAGAGGGTATTTGTTGGGGAGAGGGGCACCTGCTTGCTAAGAGGAGCCCTATGACAGTGGAGGCTGGGTTCTTTGAATTTGGTGTCATGAAGTGGAATCAGTCCTAGTGCCCTTGAGGCCCTGCAGGGACCCTGGCCCTATCCTCGGCGTCCTAGGGGGAGCCCAGGGGAAAGGCAGGCCTGGGCATGGCTCTCTGGGAGCTGCAGGCTGAAGTGGAGGGAAGACTTGGAGCAGCTCATCCCCATCCTGGCATCAACTGAAGTCCTCCAGCCTTCTGATTTTAGGGATGGGTAACCCAACATGGCACAAGAACTCAGGGCTTCTCAGAGCCCTTCTGACTCTCACGATAAGGGCACCGTGTCCTGCCCAGATGAAAGGCCATGAAAGTGCTAATGGGACTCTGTCCCCATCCATTGAGCTCCCTTCTCAGTAAATGGGCAGTTGTGGATACAGGATCTGGTGTCAGGCAGCCTGGGCTGAAACTCAGCTCTTTCTTACTAGGTGTGCCACCTGAGGTGAAGTGTAGGGTAGCTTTGAGTCAGTGCTGCTTCTTATGGAAACGAGGTGTGGTCATCACCATATCCATCTCAAAGTGCACCCGGGAAGATTGAATGGAGGTAAGCAACCTGGCACACAGCACCGGGGCAATAGAGGTCAGCTGCTACTCTTATTTATTTATTTGAGGCAGAGTCTTGCTGTGTCGCCCAGGCTGGAGTGTAATGGCACAGTCTTGGCTCACTGCAACCTCCGCCTCCTGGGTTCAAGTGATTCTCCTGCCTCAGCCTCCCGAGTAGCTGGGATTACAGGTGCCCACCACCATGCCTGGCTACTTTTTGTATTTTCAGTAGAGACGGGGTTTCACCATGTTGGCCAGGCTGGTCTCCAACTCCTGACTTCAGGTGATCTGCCTGCCTCGGCTTCCCAAAGTGCTGGGATTACAGGCATGAGCCACTGCACCCCACCCAGCTGCTACTCTTATTAATTAGCATTATGGGCCTCTGCCTGGAAGCCCCAGTGTCTTATTGAATGTGGAAGGCCCTTAACAACCTGGCTTTTGATTTCCTCTCTTGCCTTAACCCCCCTTCCCCATCCCTGCTTTCTATGTTCCAGCCCAAATGATCTTTAATTGTTTCCTGAAATGAGTTCTTCCCTCCAGACCTTTGCCCATGTTCCCTCTATCTTTCCTTTGTACAAATTTAGACCTCAGTTCCCTGGCAACCTCCCCAGCCCATGATGGCATGGAGGGTCCCTCCTGAGAGCCATCCCTCATATGCACCCCCAGGATCTCTATTGCCATTGCTTGTTTACTTGTTGTCTACCCAGCAGACTGTGAACTCCAGGCAGCAGGGCAAAAGTCCCCAAGTCTCTAGTACCTGGTGCAGGTCCTACTTACTGGAGGTTCCCAGGGAATCTTAGCTGAATTATCAGAAGGATGAGTGGTGTCTGTCAGTATACAGTTAGTGTCTAATGAGTGTGGGCTAACTGCAGTGGGAAATTAGGGCCCAATAAAGCATGGTGCATATTTGTGGGAAGTGGTGGTCAGGAAAGGTTTGCTGTGAGAAATGAGGCCATAACACGTCCTTGGGAGATGCTGCTCAGGCTGAGAGAAGGGAGAGGCATTTAGTTGTCCTCCATGAATGTTTATTAAAGTGCCTGACTTACTTAGCAGGCTGCCCCTGATCTCAGGAAGCCGTTTACCCATACTATGTGTTTGGGGAGCTAGATCTCAGGTGGAATTTACATTTGAGACAAATGTATTGTTGATTGACATGGAAAAAAGCTGTGGGAACTGGTGCTTCAGAGAGAGAGTGATACTTGAGCAGGGCTGTGAAGAATGCATAGGAGTTCATAAGGTAGGTAAGAGAGGACGAGCAGCATGTGCTGAGAGAACAGACCATGAGAAGCCATTGAGGGAAGAAACACGTTTAAGGAATGTTGGAAAGTATGATAGGGCTACATTCAAGGTGACAAGATGAGGCGGTATATTACCAAAATGTGTGAATATCAGGCTATGGAGTTTGGACATTATCCCACAGCTCATTCCTTCAGGTATTTATTCCACTAATATTTACTCAGCACTTACTATATATTAGACTGTGCTAGGTACTGGGCACACCTCAGTGAAAAAATAAAGGTCTTGTTCCCTGTCCCTGTGGAGCTTAGAGTCTAGGAAGGATCCAATGAAAATGATCAAGCAGTAAGCAACATAGTCAATCCAGGATCTTAGGAAAAATGAGTTCATAGTAGCTGAAGTGGAGGATGGATCAGAAGGCAGAGGTGAGGAAACAGGTCAGAAGGAGGCTGGAAAGCGCACAGGCCAGAGATGAGTGTCTGAGCCTGGGCGGTGTGGAGGGGATGGAGAGGAGGCGACGTGTGATAGATCAGAAATGGCTGCACATCGTTGCTGCTCCTCCTATCAAGAAATAGAGTCTAATTTTTGGCCCTTGCATTGAACTGCTTGATCAGTAAATAGAATGTGGCAGAAGTGATGTTTGGGACTTCCAAGGCTGAGTCATAAGAAAGCACACAGGTTGCTTGGGATCCTTGGAACACTCCATGTGGAAGCCTTGAGCCCCCATGGAATCCAGTTACCCCAAGGCTGCCACGTGACAGGTGCTCTGGAGGACAGTTTCAGTGGAGCTCTGCCTTCCAGGCGTCCCCATCATGATGCCAGACATGCGAGTGAAGCCAACACAGGGCTTTCAGAAGGGCCCATCCACCAGCTGAATAGTACTTGAGTAGCACCCATGCACGCCATAGGGACTGGAAGATTTACCCGGCTGAACCCTGTGTGAATTCCTGATCAACACAAATCTCAAGATAGAATAAAATCGTTTTCATTATCAGTCACTAAGTTGTAGAGTAGTTTAGTATACAGCAACAGAGAAACTGGAACAGAATGGAAGACAGAGGCCCTCAGAAGGCAAAGCCAACAGGGCCTACCCTCTAGATGGAAGGAAGAATGCCTGTCACTAAAGGCGGCGTTGAGGGATTGGGGCATTGACATTGGAGTTACCAGATTTAGGAAAATAAAAATACAGGATGCCCCGGTGAATTTCGGGTAAAGAATGAATACATTTGTAGTATAGTATCTCCCGTGTTGTATGGGACATACTTATACTAAACACTCATTGTTAACCTAAAATCCAAAGCTAACTGAGCACCCAGTATTTCACCTGGCCACCTGGTCCAAGTTGGGGAAATGATCTGTGTAAGGGCTAGAGGTGGAGATCTAGGAAGACATCTAGGAAGCCTGAGAGATGATGGGGTGAGGGGCCCTGGGGTCAAATGTGTAGGGTCCGGGAAGCCCAGGCAGGGGGCAGACTGTGCCACTGGCCGTGGAGAGTCCATGTGGGTCCATGTGGGAACTGGAGCATGTTCCCTTGGCAAGTTTCTTGGCTGTGGCTGTGCCTGGGCCCCCTCTCAGGAGCCACACTCTATATGTGGTGCTAGTGACCGGGACAGGCAAGTGCAGCCCTCTCTGCCCTGACGCGCCACCTCCCTGCAGCATGTGAGGAATGTGGCCTGCTGAGAGCTCCCTGCATGGCTGTGGCTGGGTGCCCAGGCTGCTGTCCATCTGCCCTGCGGAGGCATCTCCTTCCCCATCCCATCCTGTTGGTTCTCCTTGCAGACTGCTGTCCCATTAAATCCACAGACTTCTCCTCCACATCTTCAGAAATGCTGACACACGAGCACTGTCTGGAGACTTGTCTGCTGGTGGTGTGTGGAGCGCTCCCCGGAGCAGGGCTGGGCTGAGGTGGCAGAGAGCTCTCCTCCCTCCTGCAGGGCCTGGGGCTGGGGGACTCCTGGCACTCTCCACTCTCTCTTCTGTTCCCAGCCTCCTGGAGAGCCAGGCCTTTTCTAACCCTGGGAAGCCCCCGGGAGAGGTGCATTCAGGCTGCTACTCCAGGGTCTGCTGCTTCTGTCCTGTCTCTCCCCAGACCCTCACAATAGCTGTGTCTGACGTCTCTCACCTGGAGAGGAAGCTGTCCTCCTAAGTCTGCATGCAGAGCCGCAGCCACCTCTGAGCTAGGGGAAGTGTGGGGTTCTGGCCTGGGTTGGGAAGTCCCTCTTATGGCCACACCTCTTCCCTTGGGGCTCTGGCTTGGAGTCCCTTTGAAGCAGGCCTTTCTCTACAACCTCCTATGGCTCCCCATTGCCCATGCATCAGCCTGAATGGCCTGGTTGGCCTCACCCTGCCTACCCCAGTCTGCCCATCACCTTTTCTTCCTCTTGACCCAGACACACCACCCTGGTTGGCAGGAACCTTCCCTCTGCACATCCTCTCCCCCAGCACTGCTCAGACTCCACTTCTTTGTTGGGAAACCATCAGACCTACTGTGTGCTGAGCACTGAGCTAGGTGCTCTAGGGGACACCATGTGATTTGGATGAGGCCCCCCCCTTCAAGGAATGAGGGGTTCCCTTGAGAAGACAGGGAGGTACGGTAGACAGATGGGCAAACCAAGTCAGAACTGGGTGTCTTCCCTTCTAGAGTCAAGAATCTAGAGCCGATCTCTTCAATGCTAGCAAGTGACTGAGTGACCATGACTGAGTGCCCCGAGGTTTCTGAGCCTCAGGTGCCTCATCATGAACTGTAGCCAATGCTACTCTTTTCCTTCCTACCCCACAGAGTGTGAGAATCAAGTGAGACAGCAATTGCGAAAGCTGGGCAGCAACATGTTTCTTAGTGGATAGGGATTATTTTTGTCTGGTGGAGCACATCTTTGTTTATTTGTTTGTTTGTCTGAACATAAAGGGCTGCTCTGCAGAAGCGGAGGACAAATGGTTCAACTCCAGCTGGGTGAGTTGAGGCAGGTTCCGTGGAGAAGGGTCACTGGAGGTGGGACTGAAAGAGCACGAAGGGATTTTCCATGAAGATGAAGTCAAGATGGGGCAGCGAGCGGTGGGAAGGGCGTTTCATTCTCTGCAGATGGCATGTGCAAAGCCACTGGAGAGCAACAGAGCCTGGCATATGTGGCCACCCAGGCTGACACCCAGGGTGTGTGAGGAAGGGTGAGACAGAATGGGGAGCCCAGGGATGCTGGAGGGAAGAGGTCACCCTGGGGTCAGCATGGGAAGGCCTTTGCCTGCCAGCTGAGGAGTCTGGACTTCATCCACTTGACAGCGGGGAGCCAAGGAAGGCTTTTTGCAGGAGTGACACGGTCAAAGGCATGCCTTGCCCCTTCTTGATGCCGTCGTAGCTCCTCTCCCTTTTTTCAAATTTTGCCTCCTCTGTGGAGTTTTCTCTAAATGTTCTGAGTCCCCCGACTCGGGGCACAGCTGATGCTCTTGGGGCTGACCAAGGAGGGGGTTGCCTCCTGTCTGTCCTTCCCCGGTGCCAGCCTGAAGCCCAGTGCTGCCTAGGTACCTCATGTCCTTCACCGAATCTCACTGACTGTCCCAGTACGCATAAACCGTGCTCCTGTCTCTTGCTCTGTGATGTTGGCATGAAATACTCAGATGCCACCACAGCAAGGATTGACCCACATCTCTGGGGTCAAACCAGCTCGGAGGGGCCAAGTCATGTCTCGATTTGATTTTCCTGGATTAGAGTCAAGCTCAGTGACTGTAACAAAAACAGCACCCCCTCCCTTGGTTTAGAAGAGTTGTCATCCCTGGATCTGGCGGCTCTGGGCTGTTTTTATTTTTAACAACCAGAGTTGCCTTGTGGCTGGAGGTGAAAAGCAAAATGCATAGAGAGCAGAGAGGAGGCTGTGTCTATGGGGTCCCTATGGATGGGGGCACAATCATCTCACGAGCGCCTTGGTGACGTCGAGGCTGCACCCTCATTCATAGCCTCCAGGAATTCTCTATGTAGATCTTAAAGTCCCAAAGGGTACTCTGGTTCTATTCTTAACTCTGTAAGAATAAGGGGGATACTTATAACTCTATAAGTATAAGGGAGAAACTGAGGCCCCATGTGGGATGCATCAACTCAGATCACACTGGGGGTCAATGGCAGAACCGGGAGTAGAACCGTGCTTCTTGCTTCCTGGTGGGTGCATTTTTTCCCGGCCCCAGCTTGGTTCTATGTATGGGGACTAAACTGAGTCAGGGAGAGCTTGGAGGGGAGGTGCTGGAGTTGAGATAGAGCTGGAAGAAAGGGAGCTTCAGTGACAGACACCGATGCAAAGCTGGGACAGAGCTGCTGGGGAAGATCTGGCTTAGATTTGGCCAAAAATTGTACACTGCTCATTTTAAATGCTGTATGGTGTGCCCAGTTCAGCCACCCATCCGCTGGAAAGGGTGGAAGGCAACACAATACTTTTTTTTTTTTTGAGATGGAGTCTTGCTCTGTTGCCCAGGCTGGAGCGCAGTGGCCCGATTTTGGCTCGCTGCAACCTTCACCTCCTGAGTTCAAGCAATTCTCCTGCCTCAGCCTCCTGAGTATCTGGGATTACAGGCGTGTGCCACCATGCCTGGGTAATTTTTGTATTTTTAGTAGAGATGGGGTTTCACCATGTTGGCCAGGCTTGTCTTGAACTCCTGATCTCAGGTGATCTACCCAGCTCAGCCTCCCAGAGTGCTGGGATTACAATCGTGAGCCACTGTGCCCGGCCAATACTTTCAAGATTTCCTAAGTATGGAAGGAGGAGCCACCCTTAGGCTCCGCTTGGAGCACGGCTGGAGAGGATAGCTGGGCATGAGCTGGGTATCCACTGAGTGCCAGGCATCTTTCTTACCTCCACCTATTTCTCCTGAGCACCTAGTCAGTTCTGGGTGTTGAGGGTATGGATATCAAAACAGAATCCTACACTTTATGGAGAAGACACCCATCTCGACAAGCACTGTTTTTTTTTTTTTTTTTTGAGATGGAGTTTCGCTCTTGTTTCCCAGGCTGGAGTGCAGTGGCAGGATCTCGGCTCACTGCAACCTCCACCTCCTGGGTTCAAGCAATTCTCCTGCCTCAGCCTCCTGAGTAGCTGGGATTACAGGCTAATTTTTTGTATTTTTAGTAGAGATGCGGTTTCACCATGTTGGCCAGGCTGGTCTTGAATTCCTGACCTCAGGTGATCCACCTGCCTCAGCCTCCCAAAGTGCTGGGATTACAGGCGTGAGCCACCGCACTGGCCTAAACAAGTACTTTGAACAGAATGATCTTATCCCCTAGCACAGCATCAGCCTCAGGTGGGAGGAGGGGTAGTCAGTGGAGGCTTTCTGGAAGAGGAGGCGCCTGAGATCAGTCTTGAAAGACGAGAGAATTAAGCAGACTGAAAATGGGGCAGAGTGCTGTCAGCAGATGAAACAGCGTGAACAAAACCAGGGAGGCATGAAGCTGTGTGAAGTGATTATTGCCTTGTGCTGTGATAACACACACCCCAGCCCAGGGTGGAGGGAGAGGATTCTGGAGGCTCAGTGGGGCACTGGGTCTGCCGGTGGGCCACCCTTAGCAGTTTGATTTCATCTTACAGGTTCTAAAGCTGGAGAGCGGCTTGTTTGGATTTGCATTTTAAGTGGTGACCCTGGCAGCAGTGTGGCAGCTGACTCAGTGAGCAGAGGCATGAGGCAGGGGAGGCTGTTGCAATAACCCAGACAGGAGATGATGAGGGCTTGACCTTGGGCTGTGGTAGCGGGACAGGGAGAGGGACGGGTTGAGAAACATTTAGGAGGTCAAGTTGTTGGGACCCAGAGACTGATGGGATGTGTGTGGGATGAGAGGGAGGAGTCAAGGTGGCCTTGTCCTGGGGCTGAGCAGTGGTGCAACCCAGCCCTGAGGAATTCCGGGAGTGGAGCCGACTTGGAAACTCAAGGCCAATCTCAGGTTGAGACATGGTGAGTCTGAGGTGCCTATGAGGTGTTAAGGTGGCCACAGAACCCCAGGAGGCAGCTGGAAACCCAGGGTCTGGAGGGCAGGAGAGGCTGAGCCAGACGTGTACGTCTGGAAAGGATAAGCCCACAGCAGTGGGGGAACCACAGGGGTGGTGAGACGGTCCAGGAAGACCCACAGAGGGAAGAAGGGATCTCTCCCTGCCATCCTTGGCCTCTAGTGAGTGGGTGGAGGAAGGGGCACCCGCAGGAGAGGAGGGATGGTCAGAGAGGTAGGAGGCTAGCAGAAATGGTGATGTCACGTGGTCCCGGGGAGGACACAGCTGTTAAGTGTGAGGATGTGGGGGACTGCACTGAATGCAGTAAAGTATCCCACAAGAAGAGGACAGCAAGTGGCCTGCCAGGGAGAGGCAGAGATTAGGGAAGATCTCCTTAGGATGGGAGAGATGTGAGCACATGCAGAGGCCTGGTGAGAGCAGGAAGTCTTGGTAGAGAGGGACATGCTGTAGGCCAGGGAGAGATGGGCGAGGTTCCAGAGCGGGCCTGCCCAGCACCTCACTGCAAGGGTGGGCTGGCAGGCTGAAGAGAGACCTTCCTTACCCTCTGATTCTGGACAGAGGATACTCAGGATGGGTGTGGGGCTGTGTTTGGAGGCAGGGCAGGGGCAGCAGGTCCCACCAAAGGGCCTTCATATTTTGACGAAGCCAAGTGTCTCTGGGAATTGAGGTTGGCAGAGGGAGAAGGGTGAAGGTCAGTGAGACAAAGAACCCATGAGGGAAATGGGAGGCCGGCAAGCAGGCAGAGGACTTTGGGTTCATGTCCACGGTGCAGTTGAGACTGGAGACCTCATGTTGACACTGGCGCCAAATCTTCATGCTGTGGGCCCTTGCCAGCCTAAGCTTGCCGTGTAAAGAGTGTGGTTGGGTTGGCCCCTGTTAAGTCTGGCTGGGCGGATGAAGGGAAGGATGGGGGTACTAAGAAATCAGGGGTGCTGGTGAGAGGGTCATTCTGATGACCAAACCATTGGAGCAGTTGGAGAATGTGGTCAGAGGGAAAGAAGAGATGTTGGGGTTAAGATGGAAGAGGAAAAGCAGTTTCGAGTGGTGGCCTGGGATTGGGGGCTGGACTTGAGTAGGCTAGAGGGTCCCTGGAGAAGGGTGCTGGAGGTCCGGGGAGTCCAGGTATTGGATGGGTCACCCACATGGATGCTGAAGGCCATCAGCTGCTGGCAGACCTTGGACAGGGAAGGAGAGGCAGCGACCTGAGGCTGGGTAGTTCAGGAGCAAAAGATGCTGGCTAGGAAGGTGGGATCCAAGAGGTTGGGAGAGAGGGGAAAGTAGTAGAATCAGGAGGCATGAACCCTAAATGAGAAAAAAAAATCCCATTCTAGGGCAGGGTGCAGTGGCTCATGTCTGTAAACTCAGCACTTTGGGAGGCTGAGGTGGGCAGATCACTTGAGCCTAGGAGTTCGAGACCAGCCTGGGCAACATGGCAAGACCCTGTCTCTCAAAAAAAAAAAAAAAAAGAAAGGGTCTGATGGCCTCACAGTCTGGAAACACCCCTAGGGATGTGAAAGGGATGTGGGGATCTTGGGAACCACACAAGGGAGTGAGATGTAGGAACAGAAACAGCCGCCCCAGAGAGGATAGAGGAGATGGGTCACCAGCGGCAAAGCCTCCATCACAAGGCTGAGGACAGAGGGGGTGCTCTTAAAGGAAGTGGGGTCCCAGAAGGGCCAGTGGGGAGGTCTGGGAAGGAAGGTCGGTGAGGCAAAGCGCAGTGACAAGGGATATGACTAAAGGAGGGTGCACTGTGAGCTGTCAGCAAGGAAGCAGGGGTGGGTGGCATGGGGCAGGGTTTCCAAGAGGCAGGGGTCTGTAGGATGAGTGGGAGTTTCTCTGGTGAATACAGGAGGCAACGGGCAGGGAAGAGTGGTCAACAAGCGGGAATTCATTCGTTCCGCAGACACTCACTGGGGCTTCCTATGCTTGGGATGCATCAGTGAACAAAGTGGCAATCCTCACTCTTGTGGGTCTTACACTCTAGCTGGAGGAGGTGGGGGACAGAAAACATCACAAATACGGTCAGAGGTGAATTGTAGAGTGTGTTAGAGGGCCATGAGGCTGTGGCCAAAAGAACAAGCTGAACGGAGCCAAATGGAGTTGTGCAGGTGGAGGGGGCAGGGGCTGGGGGAGCCACTTTGAAGTCGCCGCATAGTGGTCAGGGCAGGCCCGCGTAAGGCTGGCACTCTGGGCCCATGTAGAGTTCCACCCAGTTTGACAGGAACGGCAGTGGGGCTGAGGATCTTGGGAGAGGTGCCTGTATGGTTACTCTGCTGGGTGGTACATGGGAAAATCTCAAGACAAGAATCTTCAGGTTGAGTGAGAAGGGATGGGAAAAGGAGGCAGAGAAAGCAGAAGAAAACCAATATCCACGGGCACCTGCCGAGGGCCAGGCATTGCCCTGGGGACGGCCTCTTGAATTGGTCTCTCCTAACCCTCAAGACAACCCTGTGAGTTAGGAAGGAATTGTTCTTATGGGTCCAGTTTATTTGAAAACAATAGCACCATCAACATGAGCTAATGCTTAGTGCTGTCCTGAACAGTTTGCCTGGATTTTCCTAATGCACCCTCCTGAGCTCCCATTGAGGCTGGTGTCACTGTCTCCACTTTCCAATAACAAGTCTGAGGAAGCTGGGAAGTGTCAGTGCAGTGGCCAAGCTCGTGGACCCCGCAGCCAGCCTGCTGGGTTGGCTTCCCTGCTCACCAGCTGTGTGGCTTTCGGCAATTCCTTAACCTTTCTGGGCTCAGCTTCCTAACCTGGAAAAGAGGAGAGTAAAAGCACCTGCTTTGCAGGGTCGTGGTGAGGATTAAATGAGGGAATATATGGAAAGCACGCAGAACAGGCCCCTGCACCTAGTGGGCGCTGTGCAAGGGTGCGCTGCTGCTATAGTACTATTCCTGCCCCAGCTCACTTAGGAGAAGGCTTTGACCTGGAGCCTGGTGGGACCGACCCTCGCCTCTTCCCGGCTGACACTTTGCTCTCTGTGGTTCTGGACTTGCAGAGCCAGGCTGGGGAGGAAGGAGCTGTGTGACTCCCACCGGGCCTGCTCCTTTGCGGCAGGCATGTGACATATTGTGGCGTGATGTGTTTTCCCCTCATGGTGCAAGACGTGACTCAGAGGGGCATGCTGGGGAAATGAGTTTCTTGGATTTGCCCACCTCATCGCCCCTGCATTCTTTTGAATTTCTCTGAATCAGACTTTATATCTGGCTCTGCCATTCACCAGCCTTATTTATGCAGAAAACAGCCCCACATTTCCAACTTGCTCCACAGCAGTAAAGATTCATCTTTGGCCCGGGGAGGGTAGCAAAAGAGAGGAGGGAAGGGGAAAAAAAGGAAAAAGAAAGAAAAAGGAAGGAAGAAAGAAAGAGCCAGCAACAATCAAAACAACCTTTTTCTCCCTGTGTAATCTGGGCGGCTTCCAGGAGGATAATGTCTTTCCACCGTGGATCGCCCCCTCCCTCCCAGGCTGTTTTCACAGGAAGTAAACCCTGGAGCATTTTCAATGTGCCCCTCCAGGCAGAACAATGAGGCCCTTGAAGCCTCGGAACCCGCGCTTCCTCCAGTTATCCGGAGCCGCGCCGCTGAGGGGAGCCATCTCTGGGGAGGGGGCAGGGGGGAGGGGCGAGTCTGCAGGGCGTTGCGGAGCCGCACGAGGGAAGCCCATTAGTCAAATAATAGGTTTGGATCCGACTGTTTTGCCAAGGTACCCGGCATTTACCCGCTCCCCGATTGGGGGCGGGGAGCTGGGAGGAGGCAGCGAGGATCCAATTACGGCTGCTACTGCCCGGTCGCCGGGAGGTGGCGGCGGGCGGGCCGGGCCGGGCTGGGCCGGGCGGGGCCGGGAGGAGCGGGGATCGGGGATCGGGGATCGGGGATCGGGAGCGCAAGCCTCGGGCCGGCCGGCCTGGAAACACCGCGCCCCGGCCCCAGCCCCGGCCCTGCGCCCCGCGCGGGCTCCTCCCTCCCCACCGGCTCAGCTGCCTCATTGTTTATTGTGGAGCCTGCCTCTCCCCTGCCCGCCCGCCCTCCCGCTCCTTTCTCCCCTCCTCCCGAAAGAAAGAAGAGCCAGTGTGTGGAGAGAATGAGTCATGAATAAACAAACAGCGTGGGGGGAGCTGTCACTCTCAGCTCACTTCCTGGCCGCGCTCCGCTCCGCGACCTCCTGGCGGGGCGCAGAAGCCAGGCTGGCCGAGGTGGGCGGCGGCTGCTGGGGCTGCTGGGGCGCGCGGCCCAGCTCAGTCGGGCCCCTCCGCGGGGCGGGACTGGGCTGGGCTAGGGTGCTCAGGACCCCAGTTCCCAGGCCTGTCTTTGACCACAGCCCTCACAAGCCTCAGGGCCCTTAGAGTAAGCGAGCGTGACATGATGTCCCCAGACTTGTATGGCCGTGTGAGCCGAGGGCTGTGGGCCGGACCCTTGGGTTGGACAGAAGCCATCTGTCACAGACAGGCAGTGCATGCGGGACCTGCGGCGGGCTTGCGGCGCCTGTGTGGGCTCATCCTCTGGGAATGCCAGTGTGTGTCTGCTGAGTTGTGTAGGCGTGGCTTTTTCCGCGTGACACAGGGACACTGCGAGGATGTGTATATATGGCATGTGTGTCTTCTGCATATGGTGTTTGTCTGGAGTGGGGGTTACACGTGTGCTAGTGACCCGTGTGTGTGTGTCTGTTTGTGTTGTGTGGCCAATTTTCCTGACTCTGAATTTGCGTCTGCCACTTTAAGTTTTGAGATTCTTACTTTGTACTTGGCTTTTCTCTATTTAGTCCTTTTTCTTCTCTCTTGTGTGATCCTGTGGGTCATTTGGGGCCACCTCTCCCCTTTAGTGAGGCCCCAGGGCCCCAGCAGACCTCCAGGGCCCGGCCTGGCTGGCCTCAGCGTCCAGCCAGCTGTGGCCACACGCAGGCTGACAGTGCTGACTCATGCCTGGCCAGAGCTGAGTGTGACCAGCGCGCCCAGGCTGGGTGAGCCCCCACCGTGGGGAGGGCAAGGGCCCAGGCCAGCCCAGACCTTCTGGGGACTTGTGACCGCATGACATTAGAGGCAGGGGCAGGAGTAAGTCATTTCTTCTGGCTTCCCTGGCAACCACACAGCCTCACAGGGGTCCACCCCAGGGCCAGTGCTGACGGCTGGGCCTTCGGAAAGGCTAGTGTGACCAAGGCAAGGCTGTGACTCAAGCTACAGCTCAGGCCCCTGCTGCTTGGCTGGGTCTAGAACCTTCCCAGCTCTGGCCCTGCTCCCTCTCTATGGGCTGGCCCAGCTGCCAAAGCTTCCCAGTTCCAGGTTGGAGATTTGCATGCAGGGACAGACCCCCCTGAGGCTGAAGCAGGGCACACATTTGCTCCTTCCCCAGGATTGCTCACTCCTGCAGCCCCCCCAGCCAGGGCTTGCTTGCTGGACTTGGTCCCCTGGCACTGGAATCGTAGCCTTGGTTGTGACCCTGATCAGGGAGGCAGGCTCCAGGGCCACAGCAGGCCAACCCTGGCCACTTCCCAGTCTTTCCCATCCTTCGGGGGGGCAGGTAGTTGGGAAGATTAGGATCTACATAGGCTGGGAGGCAGGTGCATGTGGGGTCACAGCCTGGCTCCTTCATCTGCTAGCTTTATGACCTGGGGAAAGTCACATAACCTCTTTGAACCCCTTTTTCCTCTACTTTAAAATGTGCATAGTGACCCTTACTCCATGGAGAGGTTGCAAAAGTTAAAGAGAGAATGCCTATGAGCCCTGAGTATATGTCATGGAATGTACTTGTCATGGAATAGGGGCTCAGGAAAGGACAGTGTACTCTCTGTCTACCCCCAGCCCTGCCTTGAACCCTGATCTCAAGGCCCAGAATTTTGCCTGTCCAAGCCTGTTGGTCCATGACCCAGGGAAGTGCTGGATCCTGTGGACCTTGGCTGGGATTTGAAAACTCAGAAGCAGTCCTACACGGTACATAGGGGTCTCTGAGTCCCAGGGAAGCATGGGGTCTGGGCTGTCCATTAGAGGTAAGCTGGTCTAGGAAGGACAGCTGTGACAGCATCTTTCTGGATCTTTCCTTGTGGGGAGAAGCCTCCACCCCTCAGGTCATACTCTGGCTGTACCTGGGCTGGTCTCCATTTGAGGACAATTTTTTTTTTTTGAGACAGAGTCTTGATGGAGTGCAGGGATGCAATCTCAGTTCACTGCAACCTTGACCTCCTGGGCTCAAGAGAACCTCCCACCTCAGCCTCCCAAGCAACTGGGACTATAGGCATGTGCCACAATGCCCAGCTAATTTTTCTTTTTTTTTTTTTTGTGGAGATGGGGTCTCACTATGTTGCCCAGGCTTGCAGACAAATTTTGTTTGGCCTACGTGAGATTAAAAAAAAAAAAACCATTATTTACAAATGAAGGCATTTCACATGAAAGTGTGAATTTTCAATTTCCCTCAAATAACTGGGGAGTTTGGCCACACTGGGCTCACGTTTTTATGCGGCAACTGTGGGCTGGAGCTGAGCAGCAGAGGCCCCTACAGGCCGGGTGTATGTTCTCCAGTTTACCACAGTCTCCACTGCTCCCTATTGCACTGGTTCTCAAACTTGAGCATATGGGAAAATCCCTTGGAGGGCTTGTTAAAATACAGATTAGTGGACCCCACCCCAGAGTCTCTGCTTCAGTGGGTTTGGGGTGGGCCTGAGAATTTGCCTGAGAATTTCTGACAAGTTCTCGGGTGATACTGCTGCTGCTGGTTTAGGGCCCCATTTTGAGACCTACTGGGCCGCCTGATGCTGAGGCTGACTGGTCATCTCACTTGGCCTGTTACTTTTCTGTATAGTAGGGAAATATTTCTCTGTACACCCAACTCTAGCAAAAGTAGGAAAATTTAAAAGGACCGAGAATATCATTTGTTCTAGCAAAATGGAGAAGTATATATTTCTTTCTTTTTTTTTTTTTTTTTGAGACCGGAGTCTTACTCTGTTGCCCAGGCTGGAGTGCAGTGGTGTGATCCTGGCTCACTGCAACCTCTGCCTCCCGGGTTCAAGTGATTCTCCTGCCTCAGCCTCCTGAGTAGCTATGATTACAGACGTGCACCACCATGCCTGGCTAATTTTCGTATTTTTAGTAGAGATGGGGTTTCAGCATGTTGGCCAGGTTGGTCTCAAACTCCTGATATCAGATGATCTGCCCGCCTCGGCCTCCCGAAGTGCTGGGATAACAGGCGTGAGCCACCGTGCCCCGCCAAAAATATATATTTCTTTGGAGACAGAAAAGATATTCCCTTGTGGTTACTTGCAAACGATTTGCATATATGTCAGATAAACACAACTTCAGGAGCACAGGGAGGCCTGCCCTGAGCATGGCCTGAGGATATGCCACGTGGCCACTCTGTGCACTTGTTCCTTCACATGTCCACCTCACTCGTTGACTTTGTCTGCTTGACCCTGCAGGTGTTTTGAGTGTGTGACCCCGGCCAGCTACAGTTTATTAATTAATTGAACAACCATGATTTGAACCAGTTCTATTGCTGCACTGTGTTAGGATATGAAGACAGTGAATAAGACAGACCTAATCCCTACCCTCCTGAGGCTCCCAGACTATTGGGACAGACAGACAAAACAAATCGAACTAGTAGGTGAAAAAAGGAATTGCACGTTGTGATAACACATCAGGATGCTGAGATGGAGAATAACGGGTTATATGAGGACCTCTTTTAGTCTGGGTGGTCAAAGAAGCCTCTCTAAGGTTCCCATCCTATGAGGGGTGGGATTGGGAAGCAAATGAGATCCAGATCTCTAGAGATCTCACCCCGCTTCAAAGCCCAGCTTGCGTTCACCAAGCACAGGGAGCATCTTGACCTTCTGACCTGTGTGTGCGCGCTCTGACCTCAGCTCTGCCTGCTGCCCTGTACCTCAGGGCCAGCCACACAGAGCCTCTGTTGTTACTCAGTGGGTTCGTGAGGCTCCACGTGTGTTTGAGAGGCCACGCCGCACCCTGGCAGTTTACTTTGTCTCCCTGGACCTCAGAACCTTTAGGGCCATTTTGCCCTACGCTCACGTAGAGATGGGAAACTCAATCCAGTGCTTCTGGTGTTCCCCACTTCCCAGTCAGTCAAAGGGCAGGACTTTTCCTTTCTCTTAACTTTCCTCTGAGCCCAGCCCAAGGCTGAGCACAGAGCAGGGCATGGGACTGGGAGCTGACACTTCTCACATTTGCATCTCCTAAAATGGCTAAAGAATCTTGGCTGGTTACAGCAAACCAGTGGCACATCCTTCCTGTACTGTGCTTAACATCATTCATCAATCATGACCCTTTCCCGTTGAGCCCCCATATAGCATCAGAATCCTTCTCAACACAGGAAACTGATGCCAACGAATTGGAGTTGACTTCTGGGATTAAATTTAATATCAGGTGGGCCTCATCTGGCTTACTGACTAAGTAGAGACCTGAGGCATGGACCCAGGGTGGGATTTCAGGCACCTGAGCTAGGCGTGGAGGTAGGAGCCAGACTGGCCTGTCAGCTAGAGAAAAAAGAGCTATGGGAGGTTGACAGGCAGTGGGCCAGGATGAATTCTGATCAGAGTGTCCCTATGAATGAGGAAGCAAAGGGTATGAGGCAGTGAGGCAGAAGTGAGGACCTAAGACGGAACTGGGATTGGGGTGGGAGGTGGGTCTGGCCAGGGATGCCTGAGGGCTGGCAACGGGCTTCTTCAGCTCTGCTGAGTAGGGACATGAGGGAGCAGAGCCTGCTGAGACCCACCCTCCTGCCCCACCCAGGCTGCAGTGCTATCCTCCGAAAAGGCTACAACAGCCCCCACCCTAAGTTGCAAGTGAAGATAGCTTAGGGCACTTTGGAGGGACTCTTTTCTAAGCAAAAGAAGCTTTTATGGAAATTAAATTATGGATATTTGTATTCCAGGAACATCAATATATTTAACAGAGCTGAGGCCATTAGGAGAATGCATAGAGATACCGATGGTCCCGAGTTCCCAGAGAACTGTCTGAATGTCTTGTAGCCCTGCTCTGCACAGAGGTCTGGCCAAGGAGTTGGCCTGGCTCCTAGGGCTCCAGACCTCAGGACTGAAAGTTAGCAAGGTGAAACAAACACAAGGGCTTCCCTGCCTCCCCTGGCCAGCTCCCAGGCCCTGGTATGCCTTCCCTCTGCTCCTGGCCCCATTACCCAGCTCTGGGATGGGGCAGGGTGTGGGTGCAGCTCTGCACACCGGCCTCTCCGTGAGGATGGCCTGCACATGTTGTCTGTTCGCTCACTTTCCCATCTGTGTCCCAGAGCTGAGTGAGCACACCCTCGTGGAGTGCCATCCAGGTCCTGGGTCTTCTATCTCACTCCCCTGGGCCTCAGTTTCTTCATCTGTTAAATGGGAATGTGAACCTCATGAGATGGGTAAGATTTTGAGGATTCAGTGGAACAGCTAGCACCCACAGCACTTCACACACTGAGCCAAAGGGAAGGTTACGTCTTCGTACTGTGCCCTTTGGGCTGTGTTGAGTCCTGGGTCTGGTCCACGATGGGCCTTGGGCAGTTCTGGAGCTAGGGCTTTGGTAGCCCCTGAGAATTAGGGACACTCCAGCTGCTGGGCAGGTCTCACTATTCCCCTACTGCCCCTGGTGCGCCCTGCTGCCATGCCTTTGCTTCTCTGAGCTCCATACTTGGAGCTCCCTTCCCTGCTCCATTTCACTTCATCCAAAGTCCTCGTGGTTCAGTGCCAGGGCCACTTCCCCTGGGAGGTGTTGTCTGGGGAGGCCTCTTGCTCTCCCCAGGCCCTCACTCCTTGCAGGATCCACAGTTCACATACTGGTGACTGGGAAGGCTGAGGCAACCACACTTTCCGCAGGCTGTAGGGGCAGGTGAGGGGCTGCGGCTCTGGGGCATGTCCTTGCTGGACAGGTGAGCAGCTCCAAAGCTGTTGGGGGAGATGCCTGTCCCTCACCCTGTCTGGGAGGGGTGTGGGATGCTCGCCACTGGGCAAGGGAACACATGTGGGAGTCCCCGCTCACTTTCCTGCATGTGGGCTGTGGGCAGGGATAGACCTGGCCTCTTCCCTCCATGACCTTTCCTCCTAAGCTTCAGCATCAGGTGCCAGGCTTTGAAGGCTGGAAATGCACAGCGCATGGTGCGGGGTCTGGATCTGCACCCCAACTGGATGGGTAGGGTCTGGGGTGATTTGGCCTCTTGGAGTTTCAATTTCCTCAGTTGTAAAATGGGATGCCTTATTCCATCTCTTAAGGTTATTATGAAAATTACAGGTGTCAACAAGACTGCTCTCTCCTGCCTCAGCTTCTGTCTGCCTAGAATGTTTTTCCCTTCCTGGTTGCCTAGATAGCTCTTATTCATTCTTCAGAAGATCTGGGATCAGTGTTACTTCCTCTAGGAAGTCCTCCTTGGTTCTGAGTTCCAGACAGGTTCCCACACTGGTAGAATCCTGGTCTCTTCTGTGTTTCTTATCTATATGTGAGTCTCTATTTAGAGATGGCGCCCCCCCTCCGCCTCAGTAGACTGTGAACTCCATGAGGGCAGGGGCTGTGTCTGCTTCATTCCCCATCATGTCCTTGTACCCGCCTAGGACCCAGAACTTCAAAGGCAACTGGGGAGTATTTGCTAAGTAAATAACAAATTTGAAGTGCCTCATGCCAAGTTAGGATCCCTAAAATAGCAGCTCTTATTAAATGTTGCCCCCAGAGGCCACGTAACCACTCCTCATTTCAGGCCGTCAGTGGGACGTTATATTGCCAGGAAGTTCGGCATCTGGCCTATGCCAGTCCACCTGCCCTGGGGAAGTGCCCACCCATGCTGCGCTTTGCTGTCCTCTCAGCCCCTGGTGCAGGGAGGGCAGGAGAAGAGCCAGGTGAGGTGTGCCTGAGGCCTGAGCCCCCAGTGCTGGTCTCTGTCTGAAGTTCAGCCCTCTGTGCTAGGCCTCCTGGGATCCCTCATGGGCAGGAGGGCAGATGGGAAGTCTGAATCTGAGCACAGCTGGCTAGCTTGCTCGCTGGATAGACAGGCCTTGGCTGCCCCTAAGACCACAGCTAACAGGGTGGTTCTGTGCTCACTGAGGTCACCGGGCTCAGCCCGGGATTCTGGGGTCATTGTCTGTACTTCTCAAGCTTCTGAATCCATTCTCAAGCTTCTGAATCTCCTTGGGCTTCTGAATCCACTTCTGACCACAGATGTGGTGCTCATGTCCCCTTATGAAGCCATCCAGGTCCTGGGTCTTCTATCTCACTCCCCTGGGCCTCCGTTTCTTCATCTGTTAAATGGGAATGTGAACCTCATGAGATGGGTGGGATTTTAAGGATTCAGTGGAACAACTAGCACCCACAGCACTTCACAGTACGTAAAAGCCTGTCCCATCTGTTTTCCTGACAGAATGCAGAGCTCCTTCCCTGGCGGAGCTGGAGACAGATGGGCACTGGGAAGGTGAGATACTCACACAAGAAAGTTCAGAGTGCTGTGGCGTGGGTGCAGCTCAGGCGGGGATGGGCAGCACTCATGTGGATGCGACGTATATGGGGTCCTTTGTGATACAGCCCAGTGGTGGTACCGCGGTCTAGGGTGGACAGACAACTGACAGCAAGTTCTGCTGAATTCTTGGGGGAGACAGTGTCTGGAGCAGTGGTCTCTGCAAGGCCACAGCTTACCTGGCCCTCTCAAATCAGTCACTAGTGTCTAGGGGGTCCCTGAGTGTCAAGAATAACCAGCCTTGGAAATCCTTTGCCCTGGGCCCTGTTCTACTCAGGGAAGGGCCTGCATGGCCTGAGGGCTGGACACACTCGAGAGGGGACACACCTGCTTGTCTGCTCACATGTTCACACATGTACACATGTGTGTACACATGTACATATATACTCTGGATTGACCCCCTCACTTGCATGGACCTGAGTGTCTCATGTCTTTTTCTATGTAGGACACATGGAAAAATGATTCCCAAGCAATTTCCAGGAAGAATATTCTATCTAGTTCCCTCTCACCTCCCACTACCTCCATTTTATAAACTGGGAAACTGAGGCCAGAGAGGGTAAGTGGTTTGCCCAGGGTCCCACAGCAGGAGCAGCAAGTGTGACACCAGGGTGTCCTAACCTGTGTCTGGGACGTCCCAGCCAGGTGACTTCTATCTTGCCAGGGAGTGTGTTACAGCGAGCTCTCCTCAGCTCAGCAACCCCGTTTTACAGATGGGCAAAACCGACCTGGCCATGATCTCATCCAAAGGGCACCCATGTCTCGATCACGCAGAGTCGAGACTCAGGCTCTGAGTGGGAGCCCTGGGCTATGGGTTTTGCCCCACATTGCTGGGAAGTTCCAGGGGTGTAGCTGCTGCCAGGAGAGCTCATTCAGATTGTAACTTACAAATGAAAAGGGAATTTAATAAACAGGGTTCCATGCAGGAGCCCGGGGCCAGCCTTTCCCTGCAGCCACCCACCTGCGGCTGCCTGCCCCAAGGGCCCTCCCCACCAGCTTGGGGCCCCTGTGGCCGGCCAGCAGCCCTGCCTGGGCCTCCTCCCCGCCCTGCCCCCAGTGCTGCTGACACAGGCTCCTTCCTGGCCTCTCACCTCCACAGCCCTCTCCCGCCCTCCCGCTGGCCGGCTGCAGTAACAAGATGCCCTTTGTGTGTGCTGGCAGGGGAGGGGGCTGCGGGCAGGCTCCTGCGTGGCTTCTTGCTGCTGAGTCACAGCTCCCTGCCAGGCTCTGGGAACAGAGTCGCAGGTGACTGGCCAGACGGCACAGAGCCCAAGATCTTGGAGATGACCTCAGACAACCCCTTCCTTGCACGGGAGGGGACGTCGAGTCTCAGAGAGGGGAAGGGGCTGCTGCATGCTTTTCTGGGGGCAAACATCAAGATTGGGCACCTCTTCCTGCAGGTTAAGGGCTCTCAGGCTGGTCCTGTTGTCATAGTAGAGTCCTACTTCTCTCCAGAACAGCCTGAGTGTGTCTGTGTGTCCACATGCATGTGCACACATGCTCACTCATGTCTGTGTTCACGTGTGAGCATCAGGGGTTCAACCGTGTGAGTGTGTCCTTGCGTGAGGCTGTGTGTAAGTGTGTTTGCCCTTCTAGGTCTCCCATGCCTTCTCCCAGAGACACACACGCCTGTTCTCAATGGCATATCTCCTTCCATCTGCTTCTTAGTGCTTACCTGAGCTTCTCCTTGCCCACTGCAGGAGGCACCAGCCCAGGCAAGTGAGTGCCTGTGATGGGCAGCTCATTACCTGACAAGTCACCCCCAGAAACCCAAGGTAGGGTGTCTCTCTGCCCCACTGCACTGTGCTGTGTGGGACTCACCAGCGGGGGCCCAGCCAGAAATGTGTGGTGCTTAGGAAGGTGGGCTCTGGAGACAGGCTGCCTGGGTTTGAATCCTGGCCCTGCCATTTCCTAGCTGTGTGACTTGGGCAAGTTTACTTTTCTTCTCAGAGCCTCTATTTTCTCATCTGTAAAGTGGGGATGATAATAATAGCCTTGCCTCAGGGATTGAGGTTGTACCTCTAAAGATCTTAAAATAGTGTGCAGGTCCTTAAGGAACATTAGCTATTATTATTACTGTTATAGTTGTTCTTGACCCCCAGGGAGCTCTTTGGAGATGCAAGGGGCTGAAGGGGTTGAAGTCTCTGGCAGCATGAGAGGCTCAATTCCCTTGGTCACTGACCAGCAGGCAGTGAAGGGGCGGGGGGCACTCTCCCAGGAAGGAGTCATCTGTTCTGGGCTGTGTCCCCCCCGAGTGGAGCCACCTTCAACAGTATTCCCCAGGAGAGGTCTGCACCATTGGAAGTGACCCCTGGCTCTGTGCATGCTGCCTTCCTAGGTCGCTCAGCTAGAGCAATGGCCAGGCCCTGGGAGGCAGGGCAGGGTGGCCAGACGGCCGGAGCTCCTGCTCCTCCCTCTCCGATGGGCCTTGGCGGGCGGCAGGCTTCCTGTTGCTGCTGCTATGATGCCCCACCTAATGCCGGGGATGGCCATCTGGGCCCAGGGGCTCGAAGAGGGGGCCTGCCGACCATCTGCCTGCTTGGCGTGGGCTGCTTCCGAAGGGCAGCAGGGCGCCTGCCCACAGTAGCTGGGGCAGGAGGAGGCCTCGGGGCTGGTTCTCTGGCCTGGGCAGCCTGTCAGGCTGCAAGCTGCTGCAAGGAGCCCAATCCCCAGAGCTTCCTGCCCTAATTTTCCCTGCATGTATGCACAGGAAGGCTGGCTGCGGTCCCTGCCGTGTGAGCTCAGGGAAGCCTCGCCCTCCCCAGCTGCAGTCTTTCCATCTGTACAGTGGGCAGGCTGGATCCAGTGCTCAGATTTCCATCCAGTCGGCGCTGCCTCTGGGCCTTGGGGCTGACTGGGGGTCCACTTTTTGGGGTGTGGGAGGGTTTCCCAAATGTGTCCTATCCTCCCAGCTCTGACCCTGGGGGCCAGCTCTCCAGCCAACCGTGGAATTACATGAGTCCCTAAATAACCAGCTGCAGGTTAGGTCCAGAGCAGGCGTTCTTGCTCAGCGACAGCCCAGCCCTGGTTCCTTGCATGGTGGTTGCAGGGTGACCAGACACTGCAGAACACCTCTCCAGAGAGGCGGAGACTGGCGAGGATGGAGGAGGCAGCTTCTCACTCACTCAGCAGTTTTCTGAGCATTGTCACTGTCTGACGCTGTGCCTGGTCCCGGGGACATGATGGTGACCCGCCCTTTACAGTGTGATACATTCTAGGGTGGGTGACCTAGCAGGGAGCCCAGCCTGGCCCAGGGGGCCTGAATTACCTCTGAGATGTGACGCCTGAGACCTGAAGGAGAAGTTGGAGTGAGCCGGGGTGTTTACTCTACATAATCGCCTACGAGATAGGTAGCTGCTATCCCTACTTGACGGATGAGGAAAAAGATTCTCAGATAAAACAATATAGAAGCGGCTTTCCTATGGTCACCCAGTAGGTAGCAGAGCTGGGATCTGAACCCTTCCTTGTCTGACTTCAAATTCCATCAGGCCCTGACATTCTCCAGCTTTCATGGTGTTCCTGCAATCCAAGTGCCGCTTATCTCTCTACAGGTGAGGTTAGGGGTTGGGAGGATGTCCTGAGCAGGGAGCACCAACTTCTCTGGCTGCAGGAGGGGAGGGAGGGGGTGGCCGGCTGCCCTGGGTGCCCTTTCTTTCCCTTCCATCCAGGGCTGGAAGAAAGCCATACTTCTGACTCCAGGAAGTGCTTTGGTGGAGCTGGACCGGCTTCTGAGCTGTCTGTGGCGTGAGGCTGGGATAAGTGTTTGGTCACCTGGGATGGGGAGCCACTGGCCTGAGGTGACACAGACAAAGGGGAGCCAGGAGAACCTGTCCTGGCTCACTGTGGAGCACCCCGACCCTGCTCCCCTGCAGCAGGCTCAGCTATAAGGCATTGCCAGCCTAGCCCCGCGGTTTCTTTTGCTGGGATAAATTCAGTGGAAGGAGCTGTGTAAAGGCACAGGCCCTGCCCCACAGAGAATCCTTGTCACTTACATGCTCCAAGAGGTCTCAGAACTAGGGGACTTCCTCCCCTCCCTCCTCCTTGTCTGGAGCTGGCATTAGGCCCCACATCTTCCAGACCCAAGAAGGGCATTTACTCCAGGAGATGGCTGGGCAGACCCTCAGTAGGTATTCCACGAAAGTGTTCATGGCTTAAACCCAACACTTGATTTCTCCCTGAGCCAGTCTCTGTGAATGTCCTCACCATCGTCCTGTGTCACTCCTGGCCTCCTGCTAACAACCAAATCTATTGACTCTCCAGATCCCCAATGTCTCCATGTCACACTACTTCCATTGCCACCATTCCTGTCTGTATCCTTGTCTTAGGTCCACCAGATGACCGGCTGGCCTCCTAATTGGGCTTCCTGCATTCCTGCCTGTGCTCGGAGCTCCCTTCTCCACTTGCCTGCTGGAGGAGGTTTACAAACAAAATCAGATCATGGCACTCCCCTGGGGCCCTGCATCCTGTGGCCAGCAGGTAGGGCTTCTGCGACCTGGCCCTGGCCACCTTTGGCCTCCCGTCCTCCCATTCCTTCCAGGCCCCACTGTGCCTTGGTGTCCCTGCCCTCCTTTCTCCTCCCCAACTTCACCCACCAGTTCCCATCTCCCTTCCTTTGCAGGGTGTTTCTGCTGCTGGAATTCTTTGCCCCTGGGTCTCCGTGTGGTTAGCTCCCTTTCACCACGCTCAGTCAAGGTCTAATATTGTCCCCCCACCACCTCCTGCATTCACTCTCCGTCCCATTACCCTGTTTTACTTTCTTCAGAGCACTACGTTGTTTTGTTGTCCTCTCCACTACCCTAAATAGAATGTAAGCTCCAAGATGCGAGGGCATTTCCTGTCCCATACATTCTGCATCCCAGAGCCTGGGCTGGAGCTGAGAAGGTGCTCAAGGAATGTTTGTCGCATGAGCCAATTTCATAGTGCTCCAGGCTCCCAGGTGGAAAGGTCCTTGGTCTTTTCTTTACCAGGTCTTGGAAACGCCCCTGTACCCCAGAAACTTCCTGATCAGTCCCTGGTCAGTGTATATCATGCTTCCTGTGACATGACATCAACTTTTCAGTGACTTCCACTGGTTTTGGCCCAGCTCGAAGAGCCTGACACCTCTGCAGGGAATTCTACCAGGTATTCAAAGAGTGAGTCTTAATGCAAAAAGAATGAGAGACGCAGGGTCACGAGTCGCAGGTTCAAGTTCTGACTATTCCTCTTCTCCATGGTCAGCTGTAAGTCGTCGAGGTCTCTGGCCCTCAGCTTCCCCTCTGGAAATGCTGGGAACCATACCCCTCAGGGCTTCAATAGGGTGGGAGGAAATGCTGGCCAGTGTGGGCAGCCGGGGGTCTGGTACAGGCCTGTGCTTAACAAGTGCTGTTTGAGTTTGGGGAAAAAGTCTCCACGATTCTTCATTATCCCATAACATTGAGGCCCTCGTGCCCTGCCCAGGTATAGCTGCTCCCTCTGCCTGGGGGCATCTTCCAAATTGGAAAAACAGAGAGGAAAAGAGCAGTCCTGCTCAGGTGGGGCTGGGATGTGGAAGGGAGGTGGGGTGCGGGTGGTGTGCTGTGCTCACCCGCAGTGATTTGTAGCGTTTTGTCTTTTGGAAAACACTGCGGTGCAAGGTTGCCCAAGGTCAGTGCCTCTGTTCTGCGATCTCTTTATGAAAAGGGAGAAGAGAAAGTAGTCACTGCTTCCAGTTTTTTTAAGGAGTTGGCCAAGAGCCAGCACCAGGCATCAGAGGAAGGCAGCTGACTGCACTCGGCCACATCCCAAAAGTGCCTGGAAGGGGAGGGAGGAAGCAGGCGCTTCAGAAGGCACTACTGTGTGTCAGGACTCATGCTAGGAACGCTGTAACAGGGAGCAGTGATGGAGTCCTTGAGGTATGCCAGACATTGTTCTAACCACTTTATGTAGACTGACTCATTTCATCAATTTCATTCTCTCTGCCTCTATGAATAAGTGTTATTGTTCCCATTTTATAGATGGGTTAGCTGAGGCACAGGAAAGCAAAATAACATATCCAGGGGCCCACAGCCAGCACGGATGTTATTTAATCCCAGTCCCACAACTACCTGGAGATGAGGATCATTATTACCACCATTTTATCCATGACAGCTCCAAGGCTTGGAGGGGTTAAAGCAACTCGTCCAAGGTCACGCAGCAAAAGGGCACCACAGAGCTGGGATTTGAATTCCAGTCTGAGTGACTGCAAAGCAGTGCATCATCCTGTGCTATGTAACTTGGCTGGTCTCCTTGCCTTTTCTCATTCCCCTGAAATGGATGGGATGGGGGCTGGACACATGGCTGCTGGCAGTCTTCAAAGATTGCAAGGGATGGTGGGAGCTAAGCCAGCCCCCAGAGCTGCTGTGGGCCCCCCTGATTTCCCCACTAATGGTGCCTTGGGCTTTATGTGGACGTTGGTGTTTCCAACACAGACCTAGAGGAAGAATCTTAAATCCCTGGTAAACCTCCCTATTGAGCCACCTTCTTTGTTATCGGAGGGATGTCAGGAAAGATTCAGATAAAGAGGTAATGTCTGGGCCTCACCACCCCAGAACAGACCCTCACACACCACAGGATGAAGTCGGAGGGGAAGAGGTTGCTGGGTTGGAGCCAGAGCCTACGGAGGACCAGGCGCGAATTGGCCCAGCATGCTGGCCTATATCCAGCCTGCAGCCCCTATTCCCTGTCTTCCTCACGCACCCTCCTTCTCTGCTCTCCCCACCACCATCAGAGCCTTCTCCCAGGAAAGGCTGGGAAGTTAGGGTCCTGGTCTCTTTGTGATGATCTCCAAGGGCCTACTGTGGCTGTGTCAGTGTAGGAAGAGCCCAACTTTGAGGGTCCAGGGATTGGGCTCTCTTCCCCAACAGTTGCAGCTCCATCTCTGATTGTCTTAGGAGACATGGCAACATCCTAGGTTTCACTTTCCTCATCTGTACAGTGGGTGTAATAATGTGGCCCCTGAGCTGACAGATGAGGACCAGATGGGGCGAGGGATAAGAACGCACTCTGAACGAGGTCAAATCTTGGCTGGCTGCCCACAGTCACTAACTTGTCCTATAGCCCAGTGGCCGAAAAGTTTGCATCATATTGGAATCATCTGGGGACCCTAAAACATGCTGATGCCTAGCTCCTCTCCCCAGGTGTTCTGATTTAATTGATTTGGGGGAACAATCAGACATTGGGAGTCCTAGGAGCTCCCAGGTGATTCTAATGTGTGGGCAACAAGGGAACCATAAGAAGCCCCTTCTATTCAGTGATTCCACTGGCTTATTAGGCAGCAAGGGAGCTCGTAGGTCACCATCAGGTCCAGATTTTTCTCTTGGATGCCTATTCTGCTCTCTGGATTTGTCCTAATGTGTCCTGCTGAGAGTTTAGAATCCTAAACACCCGCTTTTTATGGAATGTGCCTCTGGCAGATGTCTGGGGAGCGGAAGCGCCCCATGATTTTTGCTGACTTCCTTCTCTGTGTAGAGGCTGTGCTGGAGATGGGGCGGGGGGCAGGTAGTGAGAGACTCAGACCTGATCCTTGCCCTTTGCACACTCATGCAGGGGTCCTTGCCTTCTGAGTTCTCTCCTTAGAGGTCAAGGGGAGGAAAGAGGAAAGGAGCAAAGCATGGCTGGGCCCATGCTTCCTGCTCAGAGCTTTCCTGTGGATAGGATGTGAAAGCAGGTGAGAAAGGCCTGTCATCCCCACTCACAAATGAGGAATCCAAGCCTCTGACAGGTTCAAAGACTCACCCAAGGTCTCACAGATCATGAGTAACAAAATGGGAGTGAACCCTGCTCTCTCTGCTCTCCAAGCACCTGCTGTGGCGGGGGGCAGACAGGTGGCAGATGGCAGGAGGTGTGATTCCAGAGAGGCAGGCAGGGCTGGGGGCTGGGGTCACTGTTTGGGGAACAGACTGATTCCAGAGTCCCCTTTGTTCTCTCTCTGCTTCTTCCCTCCCCTTGGGTTCCCCAAAGCACGGGACAGCTCTGGGTGTTTGGGGGAATGAAGGGTTATGAACAGGTGTTTCATCTCCTGGGTTTCAGTATCTGACTGCAAAACGGCCTCTGACCTCACTTTCTTTGCTTATGGAGTATTCAGGTGGGTGTCAGTGATCTGTGGAGTATTCAGTGATCTGTAAGAGAGGAAACAGCATCCTCAAGATCAGCCTCAGACTCAGTGGCTGCATCTGAAGGGGCCTAGGAGGCCAGGGCCATGTCAGGACCCAGGACCACCATGTGATGAAGGTGGCCAGGTGGAAGGCTCTCATCATTGTGGAGGGCTTTGATGCCAAGTGATGGCAATCTAGCTTCAGTGGGGTAGTCAGGAATGGTGTTCTGGGTTCTGCTGCTTGAGTAGGGGATAGAGTCTCTATCTCACCCAGTCTCACTTTTCCTCATCTGTAGAATAGGAGGTACTGTAAGTAATTGTCAAGGCAAGTGCAGGGTGGAGCCTTATAGTAAGGTTACACCATCTTCCCATCCATCCATCTACCCATCCATCCACCCACCCACTCATCCTCCCTTCATCCATCCATCCATCCATCCATCCATCCATCCATCCACCCTCCCATCCATCCATCCACCCACCCATTCATTCTCCCATCTTTCCGTCCATCCATCTGTCCACTCATACTTCCTTTTATGCACACATTGATTCTTATGAACTCCTTTGGTGAACCAGCTCTGAACAGATACTTGCATTGAGATGAGTCAGAATTTTTCCTGCTTCCACGGACTCTCAGACCCAGCAGGGAGTCCAGTCCTATGAATAAAGAGGCCACTGGGGCAGGTTTCAGAGAGGACACACTATGTGAGCTGGTTAGAGGTGAGAGTGAGAGTTTGCCAGGTGGGTGAGCAGGGGAAGCATCTCAGGCACAGGGCCTAGCAAAGGCCTAATGTGCTGTGGGGTACTTAGGGCCTTCTGGCTTTGTGGTGGGGCTGGAATTTGGCAGTAGCTACAGCTAAAACTGTGGCTGGGGGTTTCTGAGCCGGGGTCGAACATGCTAAGAGACCCTATTTTAGGGAGTGGAGTCTGGTTGACTCAGAGAGGACAAGGAGAGGCAGTGGGCATAAGATGGCAGCCCGAGGCAGGGGACAGGGCTGCTGGGGAGGCTGATATGCTGGTCCGTCCCATTATCCCCAAGAGAATGTGCTTCCCCTCTCTGTCCAGCTTCTATCTCTCTCTTTTTTGTGGTTCAGGAGGCCTGTTCTTTGCCCAGATACGGAGCAGGCAAGAGTGCCCAGCCTGGCCCTGTCATTCCCCGTTCAGCCCCAGTGGAAGAAGTGATGCTGTCATTTGCATTTCAAAACCTGTATCTCCCTGCATCTTCCCTTAATAAGAGCCAATTACACCTCTGCCCTAAACCGCAGGTTGTCTGCCTGTCATTGGACTTTTATCCTGTTTGGGGTGGGGAAGAACTGCTCCCTTAAATGTCACATTTAGCATATGCAAATGAAGAGATAATTGTCCTTAATGGAAAATGAACTCACCTGCTTGCTGTGAGCTCCAGACAAAGCAGGCACTGATGAAACGGGCACCAGGATGGGCCTGGGATCTGTGCTTCCAGCCCTGCCTTAGCCAGGGGCCCAGCTGGCCTGGTCTATCTCCACCCATTGAGAAGATGACAGTCCAGAGATCTGTGCCAGTTGGAAGGTAACACATTTAGAGGTTGTTCCTCCGTTTGACAGATGTGGACACTGAGGCCTGGAGGATGGGAGCGATTGGCCCAAGGTCACAAGCTGAGTCAAACTTCTTAGGGAGCTGAGAGTGGAAGTCTGTAGCAGCCCATGCTGGGGAAGTGAGGGCGCTCGAGAGTGGATGATTTTCCAGTTAGGCAGATGGGAATCACGAGCCAGCCCTGGGATCTAGCACTTGCTGGGAGCATATATCTTTAGTAGATAATGATTTCCAATCTGGGCATTGTGCTTGGTTATCTGGAAGCTGAGGGAAGAGGGCTGGAGAGGACAGGTGCTTTGGAGACCACCTCAGCACTTCCCCATGGAGCATAATCCTCCCTACCCCTGGTTATGTTTCCCTCGAAACCAAGATTGCAAGTGGAATGCATTCAGAGGGAGTGAGTCCTCTGTTACTGGCAGTGTGCAAGCGACATGGGAGGGCCCCCTGAGTGCGCAGTGGTCCAAAGAGTGTAGATTCCTGGAAGGAGAGAAGATCTCTTTGAGAATGAGCCTCTTCTCACCGGCTAGCCCTTGTGCCCTGAGCTGATGACAGGATGAGGAATTTCAGGAGCCCCAGGCCTGGCTGGGACATGGAGATTTGGACCTGCTCTGAGATTCGAAGCCTCTGCCTTGTTCTCTAATTCCAGAGGCAGGAGTTTGGACAGTTCCTCATGCCTGAGTCCCCTCCTAGTTCCTGCCTGGCCTTGGGGTCCTGCCCCTGCCCCCTGGGGAAGTGGTGGCACTGTGGAGTTTGAAAACCTGGATTCGAGTCCTAGCATGTCCACTTGAACATGACTTCTATCCTCTGGGAGCCTTGGCTCCTTCACCAGGAGAGCGGATATCTGTGATATCTGCCTCCTCGCAGTTTTGTGGGGATGCCGCCAGGGCTCAGCAGATGCCTGGTACTTGGGAGAGACTTGGTGGAGATTTGCTTTAAGAAGCACTGGTCTGTCCCCTTCCCTTTGCCCATGGAGGGGCCTGACGCCTGCTGCAGTCCCCCAGGTGCTCTGTGCTCTGCCCACCTCCTGCTCAGCTGCCTCCTGTTGCCTCTTGCTGGGTCTCCCAGATGGGCAGCTCAGCCCAGCCCCTCACTGCTGGCTGACCCAGGAAATGCCATGACCTTGGAGAGGAGGCACTGGAAACCTTTGGCTCTTTTTCCCCAGGTGTTCTGATGGGTCTCAGAGAGGATAAGGAACTTACCTAAGGTCACACCATGAGGTCAGGGGTCAGCTGGCATGTCTCCAGCTTTGAAGGCCTAAATGCTTCTGATGTCACAGTGGGGTGCATTCCTGTGGGATACAGAGGGCTCAGCTGCTCCAAGATGAGGCCATATCCTTTGGCACCGGGTGGCATTGGCCATAGGCAGGGTGAGGATCAGGAGGTAGGCCTTGGTCTGTGCAGGGTGGTTGGAAACCCAGCTCCCGGCAGATGTCAGCCCTCCCTCCCACCATTGCTCTTGGCCCTCTCCTCTCTGCCATGGCTTCTCCAAGAGCCCCGGCCCCTGGGGCTGCATAGACCCACTCACATGAGAGATAGGCACCCCAGGCCTCAATCCGACCTTACCCAAGGTCCTCCAGCTTGTTAACCACTTGGTCTTGGATGACCTCTCTGGTCACCAGGGTCCTGGTGAGTGAAATAGGGACAGTGATGCATACTGCGTGTGGTTTTGGGGAAATTAGATAAAGCACCTATGAAGCGTCCAGTTCCTGAATTCTGGTGGGTGTCCTCATATATCAGACAGACTCCACTTCAAACCTCAGCTCTACCAGAATCCATTTGTGTTAACTGGGGCAATTACTAAGCTCTCTGGAACCCAGTTTTCACCACATGAAGTGGGGCATCTTTCCTCTCTAAAGCCTGGAATTTTCCCTCGGGAAGTTCACAAGATTGCCCCCGGAGAGAATCCAGCAGCAGCAGGCTCCTTCACAGGCATCTTAGGCCCTTCTCTCTTGCTCGGCCCAGCCCTCCCTTCCAGCTCACCTTCTTGTTCCTCTTGTCCTCCTCCACACGGGCCGCTCCACACCATGCATCCTTCCCAGACCCCTCTTCGCTAGACCCCTGACTAGCTTCTCCTAAGGCCATCCCCCAACCCACCCACTTGACAGACACTTATATTTCCTTCAAGCTCATCCTAAATGCCGTCTGCTCTGCCGAGGGGGTCAGGGAAAGCATGGCGGAGATGGTGGTTTTCCCTGCCCCACCACAGGACGTAATCATCTAACAGCCCCTCGGACACAACTCAGCTGAGGGTGTCGTGTGTTGTGATGTGTTTTCCTCCTAGAGCATGAGGTTTGGGCTCTGCTCCTCACTGCCTGCTCCCAGGGCCTGGCACAGTGCTCAGGGAGTGTCCGTGGGAGGGTTTGAAGCTGCTCTGGCCGCCGTTGTGTGTCTGCAGTTTTCAGGGCTGAGCCTCACTCAGTCTACCAGGGGCTGCAAGGTGTTGCCTCCCTGGGCGTGGTCGACATTAGGGCTGGTCAAATATTCCAATTGGCTCTCTCTTCTTCTGGGCACATGGTGGGATCACCATTCCCTGCCCCTTCTGAGGGGTGTGGCATGTGATTTGTTCTGGCCAATGAAAGGACAGCAGAATCAAAGAGGGTTACTGCTGAGTGGAGGCTCTAGGGGCAGAGTATTACTTGCCATGTTTCTTCCCCTGCCTTGAGGATTATGGAAGCACGCAGTGGGACGGAGCCTCTGGCAGCCCACATGCCGCAGAGACCCTGCCAGCCTAGATCTGACCTGTACCGTGAATGAGAAATTGACATTTGCTTTGTTAAGCCGCTGAGATTTGAGGGCTGGCTGTTCCTGCAGCAAAACCTAGTCCATCCTGACTGACCCAAGAGACCATGCAGGTGACAAGTATAAGAAGGAGTGGGTTTCAGGTAAGGCATGAATAGGAATGAGGGTGGGGATGGGTGTGTCTTGCTAAAGACTGCACATCCTACCCAAAGACATTCAAATGCATCACTTTTAAAAACACCACACTAGCTCAATAACACCCATCTGCCAGTGACTCAGATTGGGCCAAAGACCACAGCTGACTCTCTCTTCTGTGGGTCTAGGGATGGAGGGCAAGGGCGTGGGCATCAGTGTGAATCCTCCCCACAGTGTGAAGACTTACTCTAGGTGGTGCATACAGGTAGTGCCCGAGCTCTTCTCCCAGTTTGCAGGTGTGATGGCAGAGGGACACATCAGCTCTTCTCTCCGGATGCCCAGGCCCACAGCCAGGGCTGGCTGACTCTCAAGGACTCCCCCAGGCCCTGGAAGGCAAGCCACTGGCTGATGATAAATTCTGTGTTGGGTCAGAGTGGGAGCCCTGACCTCCCTTGAGACCTTGTGGGGAGCTTCCTCCCAGCTCCGGTCTCCTCGGCCTGTCTTCGAGGCTGCCCGGAAGCTGTCTCCCTGTGATTAATGAGCATTTCCCCTCCCTCGGGCCCATGTTGGGGGACGGATGGGATGTGGCTTTGGCTGTTGTGGGTAGTGCTGGGGATTGGGGAGCCTTGGAGCGTGGGCTGCAGCTGTTTACTTGGCAGGGCCTCACTTGCAGATGTGAGGCTGCAGGGTGGGTAGAGAAGCTGAGGGGTGGGGTAGAACCCAACGAGAAGCCAGGACCACTGCCTCTCCTCAGGAAGAGCCTGTGTGCTCCTGGAGAAGGACTCACACTCACTGCCCCACGTTCAGAACCCTGGTTCTCAGAACCTGCCCCCTGATGGTGGCCCGGCTGCCTCCAGCTGTCTCCAAGTGTTGGTCAAGTTTCTTGCCCCAGGCTCTCCTGGATGCTCAGCCGAAGGCCTCTCTTACTCAAGCCAGTGTGGTTTTGGTTTTGGGGCTGAAGCAGCATTGGGCTCCGGCCCAGCTCCAATTATCTTGGGCAGTAGAATTTGGGGCTGGGAGAGGTCAGGCGTGGAAGAGTTCTTAGCTAATGGAAAGATGGAACTGTGGGCTCCTCCCTGCGTAGCTCATCTCAGGGGATGGGGCAGGCCCTGCTTCTTCCTAGAGTGCAGCCATGGGTTTCCAGGATGTGAGCTCAGCAACTCTGGGTGGGGGTCCTTTTCCCACCCCATCTGACACATTTTCTGTCCCTTGTCCAGAGGGACCTGCCAGGTCTTTTTCAACCTAGAACAAAAAATTGTAGAGGATGCAATCAGGAGAAGCTTCTCAAGTCACTGGCTGAATGTGTTGAGATTAGAGTAGAGAGGGCATTCAATATACTCTGTCAGTGGTGAATAGTTTTGTGCTTATTGACATGAATAATTCATCCATTCCTTCTTCTTCCATCCTTCCAACCTCATCCATCCCTCTATTAATTTATCTATCCTCCAATCAAGCCATCTATCCATCCGTCCGTCCATCCGTCCATCCATCCATCCATCCATCCATCCATCCATCCATCCCCATGATCATCTAGGTGAGTACTTGCTCTGGGCCAGACCTTGTGTCAGTTGCTAGGATACAGTGATAAATAGTTCATGATCCCTGCCCTGAAAGTGTTCTCAGTCTGGTGACCAGCTATTCAAATAAACACCGGCATCTCCTCAGCAATATCATGCTGTAGTGAATGTGAAAGTTGTTTCATGAATCCAGAGGATTAACTGACTCCAACTCAAATGTCACCTCTCTAGAACACTTTCTCTGATTCCACTGTGTGGCATGGGAATTTGAGGGGCAGAGAAGAGGGTGAAGAGCATTTCTGGCACACGGACCAGGTGCTGCCAGGCCAGAGTTCTGCAAATACGTAGCATGTTCAAGGCTGCAGGGGGTGGGGGCTGGAGAAGGAGCAATGTGAGGGAATCGGCTGGAAGGGCAAGGTGGGCCTGAGTGAGGAGGGCCTTGAATGCCAGGTGAAGGCTCTTGGGTTTTAGCCTGTGGTCCTTGAGGCACCAGGGAGCAGTGGGAAGCAGAGGCCAAGCCTGGTCAGATGTGTATTTTAGGAAGGTCATTGAGGCAGTCATATCTGGGTTTGGATTCAACTCTGCCAGTTTCTAATTCTGTGACCTTGGGCAAGCAAATTAACCTCCCTGAGGCTGTTTCCTTTTTTTCCCAAATGGAGGTGATGCTCTCTACTTCATTGGGTTGTTGGGTCTTTAATGAGATCCTACTGAGATGTACTTGGTGCAGTTCTTGGCACACCGTAGATGCCCAAATAACCACCTTATTAAGGGCTCCGCTGGGACGTAGTTGGAATCAGAGCTTGGGTCTTCTGCTGATTCCAACTCATGGTGCGCGTTAGAGCTAGTCACTTCATTTCCACGGGCTTCAGTTTTCTTATCCACAAAGCAGTCATAAAAGCCCCTGCGTGGGAGTGCTGTGAGGAGGGGGCAAGGTGATGGGTGTGCTGCCAGGTCAGCTGGTGGTAACAGACTCAGCCAACCAGTGGTGCCCCAACTTGGGCAGGTCCTGGGGATGGCGCCAATGACCCTGGGTGGCCTGGCACCTGGCCACTCGAAACTCTTCCCACCCAGGAGTGGCTCCCTCACCCCCGCCCTGTCCTGCCCTGCCCAGCTGCTCTGAGGAGATGGCTCCCTGGCTTCATGACTGCAGCTGCTAATCCCAGGGAGCAGTGGGCTGAGGCGAGACCCGACACGTCTGCGGCCCTCGGCAGCCCGACTTACCCAACACATTGGCTCTACGCCATCCCCATCAGCTATAGAGTGGAGCTGCTGCCCATCAGCCCTGCCTGGCACCCCAGGCTGACCTTGGCTCCTGCCTGACCTTGGATCTCGATGGGCCAGGGAAGAAGTCAGAGAAAGCTGTGTCCAGAAGTAGAGCCATGCCCATAAGGACCCACTCAACTTGTCCTGTGAGCAGCAGGAAGGTCTTGCACCCATAGTTTCTGCTCTCACATATCAGTCTCTGTCAGAGCCTCAGTTGGTTCATCTGCAAAATGGGAGGGATAATACTGACCTCACAGGTTTTACGTGGGAGTCAAGAGAGGAAGATGGAGGGAAAGACATTTGTAGGGTGTAACTCATGCATGTTTGGTGCCTAATGGCAGTCACTGAGTGCCTGGCATGGCAGCTCAGTGTGATGGCTTACAATGGGAACACCTTCCAGAAGGAAATAAAGGGTTCTGGGGAAGCAGGGACCCGGCAGGTAAATAGCAACAGCCAGGATCCACGAGTGCCATCCCTTCTCACCTGGCTCTCGCTATGTGTGTACATACATACTCACACACATACAAATGCACAATGCACATATGGCACAAACAAATACGTCTATATTTACACAATATAGACACAGCATGATACACAATGTCGATGTACACCTGTGCTTCAGGATTCACACACATCACAAGCAAATGCACAGACCCATGCCCACCATCCATTTGCACACCTGCAACTCATACATGATGATGCCTTTTCCAGGATAAAAATACCCATTTACTTGTGTTGACCCTATTAGTCCTGCAGCAGAATGTACCAGAATAAACATTCCACTATAACATCGAAGCTCTTTAGATCTGTAGAGTAAGGAGGAGACTGTAGAGGGCTCCCCTCCCCATCCTCACTTGCTCACTTGCAGATGGGGAACCTGAGGCTCAGAGAACTTAGGGCCATGCCACTGCTAGCCTGTGACTTTGGTCAAGGCAGTGTTCTCGTTGTGCTCCTGGATGATCCCTTTACTGCCTGCAACTTTCCTCCTCCCTTCTCTGCTCTGGTCACAGGATCTAGCAAGTCCCATGGTTCCCCGGCCCCTCACTTGACCCTCAGCTCCTCATGTGGGGCAAGAAAGAGGTTAAGCCCTAACTTGAGAAGCAGGAGCATCCTGTGCTGGGGCTGGCACAGATGAGTGGTCGCCACAGCAGCTGCGTCCTCTGAAAAGACAGCAAAGCCTGGCTGTTCACACCAGGAAGGGGGTTGTCCAGGGGCTGGTTTTTCCATGGACATCTCAAGCCCAGGGCTTATGGATTACAGTCTTTTGAAGAATATTTGATAGCCGAGAATGAAATGATCAACTCCACAAAATGACTGCAAAATCAAAATTAATGTTTAATTGAATATGTGCATAACATCACATCATGTCAACTTGTTAAATTCAACTCACTCCAGCTCCTATGAAGTTAGGTGTAAATGATACTTGCGTGAGATGTGGATGCATTCTGATGTGTTTATATGATGTGGTATGACATTCTAGAGTGAGAGGGTTAGAGGCTATGACTATTTAAAAACAGTCTATCGGCAGCATGGGGGTTGGGATGCAGCCAATAATAGCTGAGCAGCTACTTTCTGACTGTCCCACCAGTGCCCATTGGAGGCGTTTCCAGCACCGATGGATAGATAAGCTAACTTATAGGGAGCACTTGAGTGAATATTCTAGAGTCCTCCCAGACGATCTGGTAAGTTCATGCAGTATCTGAGAGTGATCTGCTTGTCCTGGTCTGTCTCCTGGGGGCTGGGGATGCAGATGGGGCAAGAAAAGATAGCCTGCAGAAGAGGAACCTGGGGCTTTCACCATTGCCTCCATACCTGAGGCAGCCCTAAGGCCCATGGGCAGAGCATCTGGGACATGGTATTACTGGATTTTGGGTGACTGTAAGGAAGAATGACAGACTGCCTTGTTAAAGAGAATCACAAAGTGGCTCACTACTGCACAGCACTGGGCTATATCTGCAAAGCATTTGTAGACAATCTTACTTTCACCTTGGAATGGCAGGATCAGTTTACATACATGGGCAATGGGGCCAGTGAGGTGCAGGAGGGTTGAGTGAGTCACTGGGGTCCTCACTGTTGAGAAAGAACAGCTTTGGAACTAGAGCCAACTCTCCTGACGTCTGGGCTGGGTACAGCTGCCATGCCCCACCCTTTGTCATGCTATCCTTGGGAGGTGCTTTGGCCAAGGCATGGTTCATGCTGCTCTTCCACATTTGCATAGGGCGTCCACCTCCACTCCGTGGCCCTGCATCACGCAGCTGTCTGAGCACAGTGTGCTGTGCTGGAGGTGGTTAGTGCTCACAGGAGCCATGGGCTCCCTCACACTTCCCAGCCTCCTGTGCTGAGACCGGGCCCAGGTGACTGGTCTGGCCAATGGACTGTGAGCAATGGGGATGTGTCCCTTCCAGGCCCAGCAGGGGCCATTTACCTCGAAGCTAATGGGGCATGGGCTCCAGGGTGCCCACTTCCCCAGCCCCTCCCTTTGGGAGGCCATGGATATTTTGTATTTATAATTTTTGTGTACAGTGGTGTGTGAGCTGCTATGGGCATTTTACATTTAGAATTTTCTCCAACTTTTCATAGAAAGGGCCTCCCAGGCCAGGCGCGGTGGCTCATGCCTGTAATCTCAGCACTCTGGGAGGCCGAGGCAGGCGGATCACGAGGTCAGGAGATTGAGACCATCCTGGCTAACACGGTGAAACCCTGTCTCTACTAATAATACAAAAAATTAGCCGGGCGTGGTGGCGGGCGCCTGTAGTCCCAGCTACTTGGGAGGCTGAGGTAGGAGAATGGCATGAACCCGGGAGACGGAGCTTGCAGTGAGCCGAGATCGTGCCACTGCACTCCAGCCTGGGTGACAGAGCAAGACTCTGTCTAAAAAAAAAAAAGAAGAAAGGGCCCCCCAAATTGTGCAAGTTTCAGAACCACAAAATCTGGATGTGCCCCCGAGGCCAGGCAGCTAAGAGATGTGTACCTCCTCCATCCTGTTCTCCCCAGCTCTGCAGTGGCCTTGGAGGTCAAAGCCACACAATGAAGGAGGGCAGCCTGCCTGGGCATGCCTTTATTTGAGTGAGGAGAGAGCATCCTGGGAAGGCCCTGCAATGTGGGGACTTATTTGTCACACAGCCTAACCTGTGATGCTGACCCATGCACAGAGGAGGAGACTGAGACTTTTCCTTTTCCTTGGGGTTAGTGCAGGTGTTCCCCAGAGCTGCAGAGACTTGGATCTTCCTTCCCATAGAGACCAGGACCCTATGTACCCTGGTCTGTGGACTCCAAATTCGGTGCTTTGAGCTCAGGAGCCTTGGGCTAAGGCCAGGTGTCCCAGAAGCTTCAGGGAGACCAACAGCATCTCTCAAGGGTCCTTCAGAATAAGGAGTTGAGGGCTGAGCTCACAGCCTGGAGACACAGGGTGTGGGCAGCTCTGGAAATATCTGAAGGTGTCTGGTGTCCTCAGAAACATCTGAGTACCCCCAGCCTGACACCCTCAAGGTTGTACTCACAGGTGCACATCAGAGGTCACTGCCTCAGGGGAATTTGTTTCTCCCAACATAAATAGGAATTGGGAAATAGCCAAGCAGCCCTGGTTTCTGATGCAGCTGTTCCCTGGTGCAGCTCTAGAATCCGGCTCAGCTCGCTCCTGAGAGAGGGGAGAGGCTGCAGCTGAGCAGATCTGATGGACCTGGCAGGAGGGTGTTTACATCCTGGTGCTCACTCTGCCTGCTCTGTCCTGCAGGGCAGCGGCTGCTGGGCTGGCAGGGGAGGGCGAGGCATTTGAATCAGACACGGAGAGTCAGACCTGGAAAGGCGGTGGGGCTTTCTTGCCTGTCACCTAAGGCAGCATCCTTAATAAGCAGGTCCTTGGACATGGACAGTCTGCATTCCTTTTTTTTTTTCTTTTTTTTGAGACAGAGTCTAACTCCATCACCCAGGCTGAAGTGAAATAGTGCAGTCTTGGCTCACTGCAACCTCCACCTCCTGGGTTCAAGTGATTCTCCTGCCTCAGCCTCCTGAGTAGCTGAGATTATAGGTGCACACCACTACACCCAGCTAATTTTTGTATTTTTAGTAGAGACAGGGTTTCATCATGCTGGCTAGGTTGGTCTTGAACTCCTGGGCTCAAGTAATCCACCCTCCTCAGCCTCCTAAAGTTCTGGGATTATGGCCCTGGGCCACTATGCCCAGCTTGTATTCATTTTTAAACAGCCAATTGAAACAACAGCGTGTGGACATATATACTTTCCTGATTGCATGGAAGCACATATGTGCTACTCATGTGTGCCATTTTATCTAAAATGGAGATTATACCTATGCACTAAGGCGGAAGAATTAAATAAAAGCAATTGTATGCCATAGGCTAGCAGCAGGCTTTACCCAGAATTGGCATTTGACCTGCTATATATATCACAGTTACTGTTACAATTGCTTTTGCCTTTGTTGTAATTTTTTTGTATTGTTTTGTAGCTCTGATGCCACCCAGGTAAGGGCTTTGTGGTATTGGTAAGGTCTTTGGCCACGAGGGGCTCAGGGCCCTTCTGCCCTTGTCCTGGAGCCCAGTTTTCTCGCCTTGTGATGCTCTGGCCTGAGTTGTCTGCAGGCCTCATCTCTGTCTGAGCTCGTCCCCAACCAACCAGGCCAAACTGGTCAGCAGTGCTTGAGCTGGAATGGAGCTTGGTGTCCTGCAGCTTTGGGTGTCCTCTGAGGCTTCTAGGAGCTGGACTGTGTTCTGGTTTTGTCTGCTACTGCCGTGGTGCAGCACACCAGCCTTCCTGAGTGTGCAGAGCTGCACCAATAAACTCTGGCCCTGCAAAACAGCCTCTGCTCTCTCCTGCTGCTGGGGAGCAGCCTGGTAACCCCTGTAGCTTTAGGTAGGAAAGGCTGTTCCCAAGCTGGGTCTTGCCTAGAAGGCTCTCCTTGGTATCTTAGGTCAGGTTCACCAGAAACAGGAGCTGAAGCAGGGATTCCAGTACAAGTGGTGCATTGAGGGGAATTCTCCAGAGACAGTGAGAGAAGCAGGATAGGGGAGGGGAAAGAGCTAAGCAGAGGTGCAAAGTGCAGCCTTCGTCTCATCCCACAGGGAGCTCAGGAGGGGGAATTGCACTGAAGATTTGTCCCATCGTGAAGCAAGAGCACTGGAACTTACACTCCACCATCAGTAAGTCACGGGCAGGGGGCTGACCTTCGGAGGGGTGGGCAAATTTCAGGCATCCTTGGACAAGACTGCTCCCCTTGGCTTGAGAAAGTGTGGTGTGTATTGTTGGCCGCACACCCCATCCTGCAACACCTGGGTGATGGATCCTCATGTCCAGGCAAGGGGCTCTGAGTGGGGCATCAGTCACATTGCCACACCCTTCATGGCCATCTCTTCTCTCCAATGATGACCTTGTATTCTCCCCAGGTTCCATTCTATGTGGCTTAATAAGCACAGGGTTATCTGGGCCTACTGTGGGCCAGGCCCCAGCGAGGGTCTGGGCAGGTTGAAGTATACACAAATAACGGGCTCATCTGGCAGGTCTGTTGGTGCTTCTGCAGATGGCTTCCACATTCACCCCCATCTCATCCCTGGGGCGCTCTTCTTCCCTCTAAACCTGCCCAAGGCTAAGTTTACTAGAGCTGCATGTTGGTATGCATGTTGCATGCTCCAAAGCAGAGGAAGGCCAACCAGGAGAATGTGTTTTTTATTTTACAAAAGCAGCTAGAAAGTACCACTTTCTTTGGGATGGGTGGGTGGAGGTGGAGGAAGGGTCTGCCTAACTTGCCTGCATGTTTTTCTCACTTCTGCACACTTTCTGAGCCAAGCAGAGGAGGCAGCACAGAGAAGCACTCTCTCTCCTGCCCTCCGCTCCACCACCCTCTCCCTCCCTGCTGGGCTGTCTCTGCTGTAGCCCAGGCCTTGTAGCTACTGCTGGGGAAAACAGAAAACCACAGCTATGCAGCACCAAACAGGCCTGCATCATGTTTATGAAATGACAGAGTCCTGGGCCCTTCTCCAAAGAGGCTGGGGCTCCCTGCAACAACTCAGACAGCTCTTCCACATCCAAGGTTGTGCTTAGGAGGCTGCAAGGCTCTTAGTAGTCATTGCTCCAAGTCTCTCATTTCAACAGGGGGCCCAGAGATGGGGAGGGAGTTGGACAAGATCACACAGAGCACTGAGAGCTGGTTAAGGCAAGTCTGAGGAAGGCCAAGGTTGAGGTTCCTGGGTGAGGGCAGGGGGAAGGGGCTCTCATTCAAGTTCAAGTTCATGTTCACATGTGACTGCTCTTAGGTCCCGCCTCCTCTGCTCCCTCATGTCTAATCAGCTGCTTCTTTTCGACCTAAGGGCCCTGTCACAGGAGAACAAAGAAGGAAGGCAGAGGAGATCATGCTCCGGCCAGCAGGGAATCTCCATTTTTTTCAGCCTCATACCTTGGAAAGTACAAAGGAGTGAGAGCTGGGACTACCAGCCAGAGGGTTCATGGAGGTAGTGGGAGGGGAAGATGGGTTCTGCATGGAGCCACTCCAGGGACTTTTCTTCTGTCTCACAGCCTGACAATCACCTCTAGCTGTTCTCAGTCCCATTCTCATCAATGACCTCGTCTCCTGATTTTGTACAATATCTAGGTGACCTTCTCTTCTTTCCATCTTCAAACGCTTGATCATTGATGCTCCCTTTTCTCTTCTCTCTCCTCCTGGGAAAAGAGAAGGACCAACATCCCCCTTTCCCTTCCTCCTGTGCTGTCCCGACCCCTCTGAGACCTGGCTCTAGCAGTAAGTCCCTCTCTCTTCTGCAGCACCAGCCTCTGCCCATCCCTGCCCTCTGCACACAAAGCTCTCACATTGTCTGCACTTTAAGAACTTTTGTGGCAAACCCTGGCAAATCCTGCCACTTGTTTCCACTCTTCTCAAATGGCTTTGAGGTCATCATTGACCTATCCCATTTGACCCTGTCCTGTATCTGATGTTGTACCCTTTCTCCTTGATCCCACTCTGGCAACTCTCCCACTCCCCTTTCTTGGATCAACTGTCTTGCTCCTCAGTCTTGATCAATGCCTCCTTCTCTCTCTTTAGCCTTGGCCCTTTTTGGCCAGGGAAATAAATGTGAAATACATAAAGCTTCATTTTATCTTATGATTATAGCTATGTTGATGTTACCCAAGACCTAAAAGTCACACTCTCTAATTACACTTCCCTCCTGTGTTCTGGGTCCTCTTGGACCAGTCCTTACTCTGGCTCCCCTCCTGGATGTCTCCCAGACTTCTAATTAGAATTACTGTTTCCTATATCAAGCTAATTATCTTTCCCACCAACCTCCTCCATCCTTGGGTGAAAGCATCACTTGGTTGCAAAAGTCAGAAATCTGGGTTTCATTCTTGCGGTAGGTAGAATAATGCCCCCAGGCCCCAGGTTTTGACATCCGAATCCCTGGGACTTTGCAGATGTGATTCAGTTTAGGATTTTGAGATGGGGAGATTATCTGGGAGAGCCTGATGTCATCATAAGGTTCTTATAAGAGGGAGGCAGGAGGGTTAGAGTGAGTAGTAAGAGATGCAACAGTGGAAGCAAGAGGTTGGGGTGATGTGGCCACAAGCCCAGGAGTGCTGACAGACATCAGAAGCTGGAAGGGACAAGGAATGGTTTCTCCTCTGGAGCCTCCAGAAAGAACCAGCCCTGCTGACACCTTGATTTTAGCCTTGGAAGACTCATTTTGGACTTCTGACCTTGAACGTTGTAAGAGAATAAATTTACATATTTTAAACTGGTATGTTTATGGTAATTTTTTAACAGAAGCCGTAGGAAAGGAATCCGATCCTGATGCTGTTTCTCCATCACTAGCTGCACTCATTTGGCCCCTAGTCCAATCAATTTTATCTCCAAAATACCTTTCAGGTTAGCTCCTCCTTTCTGCCTCAAGCCTATGTAATCATTATTTCTCCTAAGAGGTCCTGCAATGATCTTTTAACTGATCACCCTATTATTCCGTGCCATCCCTGTCACTGTGTCAAGAGTTAGGATCTGATCTGCATTTCATGAAAATGATAGTCCTCTCTCCACAACTTTGCAGGCTAAAGCAGGGAGTTTAATTACTCAGGCTATGGGGGGCCCTGGAATGTGCTCTATGACCAGTCACTAGCCTCTCTCTCCTGCCCAGATCCCTACCTCACACCCTACCATTTAGGCAATGGGGGTAATGGCAGTGGGCACTTTGTCCATGTGGTTTCATCACCCTGACATACTCTCCTGTGACTTCTACCAACCCTTCAAGAGTCTGCACCTTCTTTGGGCCTCAGCTTTCTCATCTGTACCATCAAGGGGCTTATCCAGATGAGCTCAAAGCTCTATGGAACTCCTCAGCCTGAATAATTGAACAGAGTAGATTTCATTCACCACCAGTGCTCAGAAGATGCCTCAAGAGGGCTTTTAGCCCATCCCTGTCTTGGGGATAGATGTGCTTAATGGGCTGTGTTTCCCAATGATGCCATCTCAGAGTTAGTGGGGTATGCATATGTGTGCTGCATATGTGGCATGTGCTTGCATGTTTTAGGGGGAACAACAGAATTTTAAACAGTTTATTAAAGAGCCACTAACGGTGCCTTGGATATGAAATTTCTACTGGAAAATAACTCTCTGTTTTGACGATTTAAGTGTTAATGATTCAAAACCATATGGATCACATTTCCCTCCCATCCATGTGGTTTTTAAAGAGTATCAGAAAGACTGCTTAGAGCAAAATGCATTTATGATTCTATCGATCTTGTAGCATTGCAAGGGCTGTTCAACAGACCTGAGAAAGAGGAGAGCCTGTGGGGCCAGGATGTGGGCCTTTCCCTGGGCCCTCTGCACGTAGTCTCCAAGGCAAGCAGCTCTTGGCATCTGGGGAGAGTTTTCAGTACACAACTTGGTGGGAAAGGAATGCTGCATCCCGGTGGGATTTTTTGCAAAACCTCCAGAACTAATTTTAAAATGACTTAGGTTTTGGCAGACTGAAGAGGTGTTAACTCAAACCCGGGTGTATTTCAAGGGAAATGTAATTAGAAAAATGCTCTCCTAGTTAGCTGGGAGCCTGTGCTGAGCAATAAAATTCTTGTTGGAGAATTGTTTGGTGAGATAAAACAACAACAACAACAACAACAACAACAAAAGCGTGCTGCCATCAGGGTCAGTGTGCAGACATGCACATGGGCTTCCCACCTCCCTCCCCTGCCAGGCCCTGGCACCCACACTTAGGCACTTGGGGCTGCTGAGCCTAGCATGGAGTGAACACATGCAGGCACCATGGAAAGGGCTCCTGCCCATAGGGACCAAGCCACCCTGAGCCAGTAATGAGAGTGGGGTGGAGTAGGGGGCCTGGCTGAGGGTGAGCATAGACTTGGATCCATTCAGATTCCTGGGCCTAACCCCTTTATTGTCCAATCAGATGACTCTGACAATTGGTCAGACTTAACCCATCTGGCCTAAGAGTGAAGTCTCGCCTCCCAGTTTGGCAATCCAGGCCTCAATTCCTCTTGCTGGCTTCATCTTTCCATTCCCTCCTCTGTGCTTCCTTTGCTAGTAGCCCTTCCCCAGACTCTCCATGGCCCCACTCCTCCCTTCCTAGTTCAGGTATCCCTCTGCCTGGGACACCAGGCTTGCTTTCTTCCCCAAAGAACAAGCCATCCCTCAAGAACACAGAAGAACCTCTGTTTCCTCTATGGAGAAGTCCCTATGGGAGTTTGTCCATCATTTCACTGTGGATACACATCTGTGACTGTAGCCCTTCACATCATCTCCCCATTGGACCTGAATCTCAGCCCCAACTTTGAGCTCCTATGGGGAAGGGATTTGTCCGAATCCTGTGTGCACTATGCCAGGGCCTAGCATAGAGCTTGACATGTGGTTAAGTACTCAACAAATGTGGAAGGAGTACGGTAAGTTTTGAGAATTGCTAGCACCGTTTCTACCACTCATCCATTTGATCCACCCACTCATGAATCCACCCATCCATTCACCTATCTATCCACCCAACACCCATCCAGCCATATACCATTCATCCATCCGTTCTTTTATGGATCCATCTATCTATCCACCCATCCATCCTTCCATCCACCCAGGCATGCATGCATCTGTCCTTTTTACCATCATCTATCCATCCACTAAGTCAGCCACACATCAGACACTCATTCAACAGATAGGGTGCTTTTTCTGTAGTCACGTTGCATTAATACAAGGTGATCTTGGAGTATTTCAAACCCATAGACTACTAGTATAACAAACAACTATGGATGTCCCAGTGAGCTCTTTCTTATCCTAATATTGTGCCATATCTATTTCAGATTTTTCTTTTCAAGAAATAAAATACTATAGATAAGATTGTGGCCCCATATGTGGCCTCCACAATTCTAATCCTCTTCCTCCTTCTGCAGAGATGGTGCCTTTCTTCTTATGCATGTTTTTATTTTTTAACCATGTATTTTTGTGTTCATAAACAACATACAGTGTTGTTGTTCAGGTTTAAACTTTTAACTTTTATGTAAATGGTATTCCACTGTATATGTCACTTTATGACTTGATGTATTTTGCTTATTCTATGATCCCATTGCACATTTTATATCTATCTCCATTAAGCCATTGGCTTGCTGTGTGATCCTTTTTCTCTCTCCATTTGGGTTGCAAGCTCCCAGAGCATAGGTAGCTCATCCTACTCACTATTTCCCAAGCCTGGCATGGTCTTTGTTAGTTGCCTACATAGATAATGGACAGACCTTTACGAAGTGCCAACCCTGTACTAAGCCCCATGCTCTGTGGTGGGCACCCAGATGTGAGTCAGACCCCGTCCTAGCTCCTGAGGAGTTGCAGATTAAAAGGCCTCTCTCAGGTAAAACTTTGTATCGAGGCAGGCTTTTTGAAGCTGTATTGCATTCACCCATTGATTCCCTCATTCATTCAGTCAGCGAATATTTCCTGAGCACCTTCTATGTGCCAGGCTCTGCTCATGCTGGGATGCAGCAAGGAGTCATAGGAGTAAGTTTCTTGCCGTCCGTATTGTGGGAAGCAAGAGAGGAAACAAAGTGGGCACACAATGGCAGATGGGAGCAACCTCCCTGCAGAGCACTGAAGGAATCTGGTGCATTACTGAGTTGTGAATAAGGAAACTAGTGGGGCAGTTGGGCCTCTCTGAGGAGGGGACACTTTAATTTGAGATCTGAATGATGGAGACCAGGGGAAGAAGACACAGAAGGGAGAGAATTTGGCCCACTGGAGGGAAGGAAGAGGGCTGTATGCCTAAATGGGGGAAGAGGGAGGGGTGGAGCCAAGCCAGCCGTTGGATTGTGCGTGGCTTTGTAAGGCAGGTAGGGGGCTTATGTTTTATTCCAGCCAGATAAGGATACTTCAGAGGGTTTAAAACAGATAAGTGATGGGATCCAATGACTCTTCGAAGTAATGGAAGGTGGGGGCCCCAGAGTTGCAGTTGGAAGGGAAGTTAGGCCCCTCTCGCACAATCCAGATTTAGTGGCTGCCGCTTGGCCCTGGTTGTGGGCAGTGGGCTTAGAGAGAAGTGGCTTTGGGGTGTGTCTCCAGGGCAGAGTTGATAGGTCTTGCTGAAAGGATGGGTGTAGGAGGGGAGGGCAAGAGGGTATTTGAGGACAACGTACAGGATCGTGACCTTGAGCCACTGGGTGGACGGCGGGAGTAGTGTTCACCGGGAGAGGAGTTGGAGGTTTGGGTGGAAAGACAGAGTTATGCTTTGGTCTGGCTGTTTCTGAAATGCCTTATGGACAGCCAAATGGAGCTGCCAATCAAGTGATTCATCTTGGGGTCCCCAGAGAGGTCATAGCTGGAGCCACATCACTTTGAGCATCTGTCCTTGGAGTGAGGCTGATACCTGGTACTTGGCAGGTGCCTTGTCCTGCCCACTTGCCTGAGGGTGCCGCTCACAGCCCCTCTCTCATGTTCACTGTGTGCCTTCTGGGGGTTAGGCTGGGTAGGGATTAATGTACCCATTTTATGGCTGGGAAGACAGAGGCTAAGGGAGGGCAGTGATTGGCCCAAGACCACACAGGCAGAGCCCGGACCCTACTCCTACTCCAGGGGTGGATTCTCTTTCCACCTGCAGGCCACTTCTGCATAACTGGGTGAGTGAGGGAAGCTTCAGTCTTTTCTGGATCTCTGCTTCTTCCTCTGTAAATTCCCTTTTTTGTTTTCATGATGCATCCAAGGTCAAAGTGGCTGAAAGATGCCAGAGCCAGGGCTATTCTGGCTGTTCTGGTGACCAGTGTTGGCCAAGGGCTGCAGTCACCCATTGGTGAGTGCACAAAATTGCTCCTCTCCTCCACTTTGTAAGGGAAGAAGTGAAGGATCTGAGTCGTGAGGATAAGGGAAGGACCTCTGAAAGTCATAGCTCACAGCCGTAAGTGCTTATAATGCTCTGGGCACGGTGCTAGGTACAGCAAAGTGCTACAGAACTGGAGAGTGAGTACTGGAATCATATCCATTTCATGAAGAGGAAACGAGGCAGTCTTAGTGAAATCACTGGCTCAGCTTCACACAGTGAGGACCAGAGCTGGAATTCAGACCCAGGAGTTTGGAATACAAAGCCCACCCCTTAGCCACATCACTCCACAGTGGTGTTAAATCAATAAGTCGTTGTTCATCTGTTTATGTTAGGGTTGGGGAAACTGAGGCCCTGCATGTGAGCGGTTTCCAGCAGGAGCACTTAGAAGCGAAAGGCTCAAACAGTCAAAACCTTGGAGTGTCAGGAGATGCTGAGGACAAGGTTTCCTAGTATGGGCCTTTGCCTGCCTGTGTGTGATAAGCCCTTGACCATGTAAACAGCAGTGTCCTGGGGAAACAGGAAGGGCAGACAGGGGCCCTGGCATGCTGGCTGGCGGGGGGCAGATTAGCTGATGGCTGGGAAGGAGAGGCTCAATGTCTGGGCTGTGCTTCCCACCCAGGGGAAGCTGCTGACAGGGAATAGGAAGGCAGGGGCCTCTTCCAGGGGTGGGACAGGCCTGGCCCCCCGCTCCTCTACCAATTGTGCAACTGGGGCAGGGCTGCCCTGCTTTTTGTTCCTGAAACTAGGGCTGATTTAAAGTGAAATCTTCCATTCCATGAGCAAATATTGAGCACTTACTATGTGCCAGATGAGGGACAGCTGCAGATAGGATCCCCCTCCCCCAGCCTATTGTTTAGCGAGGGTGCTGCCCTCTCCCGGGGATGGGGACATAGCACATTAGGGGGCACCTCCTGGCGGGAGCCCTGGAGGAAATGATTTTCAATGAACCCTAAAATGTGAGTGGGCAGAGGGAATAGCCACACCCAGGCTCAGAGCCTGGTAGGCATGTCATTTTTAAGGTGGGAAGGAACTTGATTGGTTTGGCTTTTTGTTTTCAGGTGAAATTCACATAACGTAAACCATTTTTAAATGTACAATTGAGTGGCAATTCATACAGCCACAAGGTTGTGCAACCATTACCCTGTTTAGTTCCACTGCCTCCTGCTTCTCACCCAGACCTCGGTGGTTTCCTGCTCCGAATGCTGGGATTCCACCATTCCAACAGCAGAGGCAGGTTTGGCCGTGTCATCACGACACACCCTTTGCTCACATAAAATGATATCATATTCACAAAAACCATTTGGAGGTAGATATGATTTGCCCATTCTACAGGTGGGGATACTGAAGAAAAGTGGAGAGATTTGCCTAAAGTCACACAGTCATGGGCAGAGCCAGCCTTGGCATGCAGGCGTCAGAGGCTCATGTCTCAGGCACTGTGGCTCCCAAATATAGATCTTCAGACCAGCTGGGCACCTGGTCAATAATTTAGACTTGGGTCTGGGGCCTAGGCATCTGGATTCCCTTTAAGGCCTCCCCTCCCTGCCCAGGACAGGGAGGTACCTTGCCCCAGGCCTTGCCTGACTCAGGTCCCAGGCACAGGGTTCTGGGGACACAGCCAGCCTCAAGGTGGGACTTTTCAGGGAAGGCAGCTGGTGCACTGGCAGCTTGAGGGTGATGGGCATGTGGGGGTGGCAGGGAGGGCAAGTGGAGCCAGAAATCTGGCCCAGTCAGTCCCAGGACAGAGGCTTCTTGTCAGCATCCCCGGGCGTTGGCCCTGCTGACAAATGGGCCACGACTTCTCTCGTGAATTTGCGGAGTGACGTGTAATAATAAAACGCTCCTTAAAGCCGGGACATGGCAGGAGTGACTGCTTTTCCAGGTCCTAATAAGGATCATTAACTGTGTATGAAAGGTTTTATAAACATTTGTTAAGCTCCCTGAACTAACTGTGCCCATGGCCTGTAGCTCCCTGAGATGTCACGGCCAGCTGGAGCCAGCTGGAAGGGTAGAGACACAGGACCTCAGATCTTGCTGCTCCAGATCTCAGAGGTTCCCCCACTCCCAGGCTTCTGCCCCTTGGCTGCGGCATGATGGGGCAGCTTGGAGTCCAGAAGCCCTGGGATAATATGTGTCCCAGGAATGAAGTGCTGGAGAGATAGCGGACTCCACCACTTCCTCTTTGAGTCTCAAGCTCCTCGCCTGTAAGGTAGAGATCATAGGTACTCCCATGCTGCTGGGGGGAGATTTGGTGAAATAAAATCCATGGGTGTGAGCTTCCCTTTTCTTCCCCTTCCCTCCTTTTCCCCTGCCTTCTCCCCTCTCTGCAGAAGCTAGCGGTCCTCCCCTAGAAGCTCAAGAAGAAGGAGGGGTTGGGGCTACAGGGATCCAGGAAGAAGGGGGGATAGAGGTACTGCCTTGGTGTGGGGACAAGGCCTGGGCCACATGCCACGCCTGAGAGAGGAGCCAGGCGTCAGTGTCCCTCCCCCGTCGAACCATCCGTTTTGTTTCCTATTCTGCCCTGTGCTGTCGTCACTTCCCAGTACTCCCCAGCGTTCAGGAAAATTCTGTTCTACATTATGATGTGGCCTCCATGGCCTTCTGGGCAAATGGAAGAGGGTGCGCCTGACAGGGCTAGGGGAGGGGTGAGGACAGCAGCAGCTGTTGTTGCAGTAAGCTTGGAGCCAGGTGACAAGGACAGCAGGATTCAGGCAGCATGGACTGGTCCAGGGCAGTGGGGACTTCTCCCCACGGTGGGGCAGCCAGGTCAGCATAAGGACTTTGTGGGCCTTGGTCCTGGCCTTGAGGGCAGGGTAAGTGGGAGAGGAGGAGGCCAAGGGCTGGCAGGGCCCAACCTCTCTCCCAACAACAGGACACTCAGCAGCCCAAGGCGCCCTGGCCTTGCCTAGACTCTTCCTTGATTTGGGGAATCCTGTTCCCGTCTGGTTTCCCAGAGCCCTGGGGGCTGCACCACAGTTGGCTGGTTCTCAGGGTCCTTCTTTTCCCTGCCCCACCCCTCTCTGGTCCATCAGCTCCAGGAGCTCAGTTCCCACGTCTCTCCATTCCTGGGGAGACTCAATTATGAGACCACAAGCAATGCTGGCCGGCATATTCAAACACACATGTGCAACCCGACTACCCCAGCCCAAGCAAGGACCACTGGGGAGGAAGGGCAAGACAGGGCAGGGGAGCTGGGGTGGTGGGGGAGGTGAGGGTGCTGAGATGGGTGCATGAGCTGGGAATGTTTGCAGAGGAAAAATGTGATCAGGAATGACCAATGAAGCTGCAGCTGGGGGAAGGGGTGTGTGCATGTCCTTCTGCCAAGAATTGGTGCTCCTTCTCCAGCTGGGAGCTCCTAGCCTTCACCTAAGCCTCAGGTCAGCTGACTCCATGCCTGAGATCTCTTTGTCCACACTCAGTTAGGAACCCTTCCTACCTGCTACCACCTTGAAGCTGTCTCCAGCTTCCACTTGTAACAGTGCATTCGCATGACCTGTTCATGTTCCTGTGTCTCCCCTTACTCCTCATGCCCAGAGCGGGGCCTTGTTCATCCTTGTTGCATCAGTATCCAGCTCAGGTGCTGGAATGTGGAAAGGAGCCAGTACAATCTGACAGATGAATAAATGATGGATGGAGCTCAGGCACACCCGGAGCAAGTGAAGGTGCTTGGTGAGGATGGAATTTGCTGCAGTGAACAAATGCCGAGCCACAGCAGAACCTGACTCCAGCATGCTCCACACCTCCAGAGCCCATCAGGATCACATGGATGGTCCCACTTGCTTCTTCTGCCCTGGGGTCCTGGGATGTGCTTTACTAGCCTGGCCGGGGGCGGCTGCTCAGGACTTGGTCTGTTTCTTCCAGTGAGCACTAAGAATTTAGGGGGTGACTCTATGACAAGGTCTCACAAACAGAGGGGCCACTATCATTTGAGAACTTCACAGCCAGGGCTCATGGGGCAGATGGGAAAACTGAGGCCCAGAGAGGGGCCAGGGCTGGCCAGGCTCACGGAATGGATGGGGTGGAGCTGGGAGTGAGCCTTACCTCATTGGCTGGGAAGTGAAGCCTGGTCTTGTGGCTGGAAAAAAGCCACAGCAGTGATGTCATGAAGGAAGGGAAGGGTGGGACTGAGATGGCACACACTACACCCCTATACAATGACACAATGACACAGTGCTGCAGGCTCTTGCGATGATACCACTAGCTGCCTCACTTAGTTCAACGTATGTCTTGAGTCCCTCTTTGTCAGCCAAGCACGCTCAACCTCAGGTGTCTCTTATGAAGCCAGAAGGAAGGGCAGGAACAAATGAGAAGATTCCCTTTTAAAATGAGAAGGAAAAAGAATTCCTCCTGGCTCTTCAGCAGCCTCCCCTTCCCGTAAGGGAATCTATGAATTGGAGATGTTTTCGGTTGCGGAGCTTCCTTGCCGCTCAGTTGGCTGTTTATCTAGCCCCTCGCGGGTGCTGTGAATTTACAGCTTGGCCTCTCTGGAAGCAGCTTCTGGGAGAAAGATGGTGGAATTTTATTCTTGCTAATTTAAAACAATAATAATTGTTCACGCGTTAGGAAGCATTCCTATTAAATCAATCCAATCTTTTGGAACAACTGGAATTGAATGCAGCCAAGTTTCCAGATTGGGCCCCTGTTGGCTTTGTGATAGTCACTTGTTCATCCAGCCTTTGGCTTGAGCAAGCAATGGCTGACACGGCCCATGGGCCACCCCCACTAAGCACAGCGCATGGGAAAGAGACAGTGTCAAAGAATGACAAGGGTGACCCCTAGATACAGGTGTGATCATTTTCCTGGGGAACAGGAAGACAGGTGAGTAAATTGCAGTGACATAAGCTGCAGTTCTGGGACCAACAGGACTCACCCAGTGAGCAGATACCTGGTGGTGCCTTTCACCAACATCAGGAATCCCAAACGGAGGATGCGTTCTGGGAGGGGTCGGGGTTCTCTTTGGACACATCGGTCTGTGTTCAGCTTGTGGTGAACATGGGTGAATATGATTAAACCAAGTCCAAGGCCGGGTGGAAACTGAGGCCTGGATCAAATGAAGGTGAGGTGGAGGGGGTGGCTACTCAGAGAAGTCAGGAGCAGGCCCAACCCCAAATCAGTCTGCAAGGGGAGAGGAGAATGGGGATAGACGTCCATCTCCAGTTCTCCAAGGGGTCTGGCAGACACCATGAGAACAGCTATGCAGCCAGATCTGTGGGGAGGTCAAGGAACCAGACTGAACTCTAGGCTGCAAGTCCATGCTGAGAGCTGGCCTTTATTGTGGCTCCTCACACACACTGTGGGGCAGAGCAGATGCCCACATGATACTGGCACCTTGCAGGTCTGTATTAGAGGAGGCTCACTCATGGGGCCCATGGACCATCCAGGAGGAGATGTCTGGCGGGCAACTGGACAGAGCAATCTGCATTCTAGAAGAAGGTGGGCGCTAGCCGAAAGGAAGTCTCTGCACTGTCCTCGGAGCTGCTTCTGGATGGGTGGTGCCTTTGGATCACTCTCTGGGGTGGGCATGGCAGAGCAGGAGAGACTGGCTTGGGGACCTGGAGCTGGAGGCCTCCGTGGCAGCAGGGCCGTATGTCCCTGTTAGCCAGGGCTGCGCCCGTGGCCTGAGTGAACGTGGCTAGCATCCCCTTTCAATCCCAAAGAGCTTGTTTGGACAAGAAATAATTTTGTTTATGTTATCACGCCATCTAAAACAAATTTGCCAGTCTGTGGGCCGCCCATGAGCCTGCCAACAAGGCTCTGCCCCAAAGAACCTCTCTGCCTCATTTCCTGGTGCCAACCTTTATTAGCTTGGTGGCCTCTGTGTTTTTCAGCTCCATCTTTTTCTTTAATGCTGCAAAATGGTCATCATAGAAATCACATGGGTGTGTATTTCCCAAAGTAGCTGTGATACCGACGTGGATAACGATCTTTGGAAGTGCTCAGGGGGTCTACAGGAGACCCTGATCTCTCTCTGCTTCCATCTGTCTTTGTCTCTCTGTTTCTGTCTATCTGTCTCCTCTGTCTCTCTCTCTCTCTCTTCCAGAAGTCAGGCTGCCATGCCTTTGAGGCTAGGAAAGCCACACCGACTCTTCTGGGGCTGAGAGCACTGTGACTTCCCTTTCTCTTTTCTTCCCCCTTTCCTCTTCATCCTGAGGACTCGTGAAGGACTCATTTTCAGGAGCCTGGGCCGTGAGTACAGATGAAGAGGGCTCCAGAGGGGGAAGGGGCGGCCATCACACTGCACCCTGTGAGGACATTTTCTTCAGTTTTGGAAGCTCCAGACCTGGATCTGACAAAAAGCAGCAACGTCTCCGAGGAGAGAGAGGCAGGCTGTTTGGAAGGAGGGAGGTGGAAATCCTGCTTCTCTGGGGGTTCAGACCCCGTGGGGAGGGTTGCATTTACTCAGGATGATCATGAGGCTTGGGTACATATCCAACTCAGTGTGTTGAAGAAACAGGGTATTCTGCCTAGAGAAGTCTCAGAGGTCAAGGATTCACCACTCTTACAAGAAAGGATGCATTCTCCTTTCTGGAATTGATGCCCAGTGAGCCAGGTTGCCTGAGGAGGTAGTGAGTTCCCCATCCCTGGAGGAATGGGAGCAGAGATTGCCTAACTACTTGGTGGAGATGCTGCAGAGGTAACAAAATATGTGCTGAGGTTGGACGGTTGACATCCAGAGTTCCTCCCAGGCCTGGGCTTCTACGACTCTCCCAACACCAGCCTCTGTTTCCAGCAGCCAGCTGCCTTCCGGATGAGTCAAAAGCCCGCCCCATGCTGGCTTTCTCACTGGGTGGGGTTCCTTCCCCTCCTGTGGTCCAGGGTCACTGCTTTCATGGCCTCTGGGGTTGCCTCTTGCAGCCATCCCTCTTCTGGAGTCAAAAACTGAATAAATTGGTTAAACAAGGAAAAGGGGAAAAATACACACGCACACACAAAAAGACTGGGAGATTTAGTCTGGAATGAGAAATACCGTCCTGCTCTGGCCTTCTATCATAAGCCCTTTGAGATGAATATTCTGACCTAATAATCAAAACAAGCGGTAATTGCAAACAGACTCTCTCAAGGCTGCATGGCGTGGCCGAGGAGAGAGCAGACGAGATACCTGCTGAGCACAGCAGGCCTGGCCCCGCCAGCCCTCCTCCCTCTCCCACAGGATCGATGCGGCCATGCAGCCGCGGGCACCATTTTGCTGGCCTGGCTGGATCGAGCCTCACTCACATTCTGCCTTCCTCCAGGGACCCCAGGACTCCCTTTGCAGGGGAACCTGCTCAGAGGAAGCCAGCCCCACACCCACCCGAGAGGGAGTCGATGGAACATCAGCAGCATCCTGCAGGACCGCAAGGGGAGGGAAGGAGGGGCACTCCCACCCGACCCGAGCTCCACCTCCTCCTGGCTCGGGAAGAGGCTCTCCTGGGTGCGACACCAAAGCTGGAAGGTCTTCCTGTCCCCTCCTGGCCCCCACCTCCCTTTGTGTGTTTTGTTTCAGACACACCCTCAGCTCAGATTTGCTTTGAAGGTCAGTAGTTTCCACTCCTTCTTTTCAAAACAACTGCACAGTTCTTCTGGGGCCCAAATGTTGATCCTCTTCACTGAGGAATGAGTTTCCCTCAACAACAAATACATTCCAGAAATATCCATCCAGCATCTCTAATGGGCCAACGATGAACCAAGTCTGGTCCTCGTCCCCAGGGCACTCCCACATTGAGAGCCCAGCCAATGTGTGCCACACACCCCAATGGACAAGGAGGTCAGAGTGTGCTTCTTCTTCTGTTCTTCACCTGGGAGCCATGGGAAGGCATGCTTCCCCTG